>NC_000006.12:99313214-99464729 GCF_000001405.40 Homo sapiens
CCCAGGAGATCAAGGCTTCAGTGACCTATGATTGTGCCACTGCACTACAGCCTGGGCAACAGAGTGAGACCTTGTCTCAACAAAAATAAGTAAACAAATAAAGAGGTTGAACATTTTTAATATATTTATTCATCATTTGTATTGTTTTTGTAAATTACCTCTTTATATGTCTTCTGACCAATTTTCCCCCTTAAGTATTCACTTTTCTTATTTATTTATAAAAGCTCTTCAAATGTTAATATTCTTTTGTCACATGTTGCAAACATTTTTCCAGCTTACCCTTTCAACTTTAAATATGGCAATTTTTTTATATACAGGAGGTTGGTTTTCTTTTTTCTCATGTCATCAAGCAATTCAACTTTTCTTTTATAGTTTCACCCTATGGCACCATGTTTAGAAAAACTTTCCTAAGCTCAACATTCTATAAGTTTCCCATATTTTATTCTGGCACCTTTATGGTTTTATGTTTATGGTTTTATGTTTCACATTTAAATGCTTGATTCATTTGGAATTTATTCTGACATGAAGTCAGAATTGAACTTATGTTGTTCCAAATGGTTAGCCACCTGTCCTGGCACCATTTATTGAATGAATTTGTCTTTCCTCCACTGATCACGGCTGCCTTTATCATATACTGCATCTCTACTCATGTGTCTGTCTCATAGGGACCTCAAACTCAGCATACCCACACCTGAAATTCATGATCTTCCCCTCTTCTCCAGTGTCCTCCAACTCTGTGAATGGCTACCTCATCAATAATGTTTATTTGTCCTTTGTTTTTTGGTTCTTTTCAGAAATGAGGTTTTGCTATGTTGCTCAGGCTGGGGTGCAGTGGCTATTCACAGTTGTAATCACAGTTCTCTGCAGCCTTCAACTCCTGGCCTCAAGCGATTCCCATTGCCTCAGCCTCCTGAGTACCCAGAACTATAGACACGTGCCCCCACACCCAGCCATCCACTAAGTTTTAATGTCCAGAACCTGATTATGCCTGACCCCGCCCCTCTCCATCACCACAACCCTCCCCCTCTACACATACACATCAAATCACTAAACTTTCTCAGTTCTGTCTCTAAAACATAGTTCTCATTCATAACTTTCTGCCCAACTCTATCACCATGCCTATAATCCAAGCACCATCTTATCTTTCCTGGACCCTGTCTCTACAAAAAATACAAAATACAAAACCCCGTCTCTACAAAAAATACAAAAATTAGCTGGGCGTGGTAGCACACGCCTGTGGTCCCAGCTACTCAGGACAATGAGGCAGAAGGATCACTTGAGCCCAGGAGATCAAGGCTTCAGTGAGCTATGATTGTGTCACTGCACTACAGCCTGGGCAACAGCTTCTTCCCTGGGCCACCAAACCTACTCTTGGCCCCTCCAGCACATGAAACGGATATAGGATCACACCATGTCCCAACTTTCAACCTCTGCTGGTTTCCACTGCTCTTGGGAAAAAGTCCAGATTTATTTATGTTACACATAAGACTGTGAGCTCAGCCCCTGCCACCACTGCCTCATGCCACTCCTGCTCTCACACAATTTCCAGACACACTAGCCACCTTTTCATTCCTTGAAAGCACCCAGCTGCTGTTCATCTCAGGCCGTTTACATATGATGTTCCTTCTCTAGTCCACGCTATTCTACTCACTGTCCCACCCTTGTTGCCCACACCTACATACATGCCTGCCTTACTTGGGCTTATCTTTCAGAATGCTGCTTAAATATGACCTCCTTGGCCAGGCGCAGTGCCTCACACCTGTAATCCCGGCACCCTGGGAAGCCGAGGCAGGTGGATCACCTGAGGTCAGGAGTTCAAGACCAGCCTGGCCAACATGGTGAAAGACCATCTCTAATAAAAATACAAAAATTAGCCAGGTGTGGTGCCGCACACCTGTAATTTCAGCTACTTGAGGGCTGAGGTAAGAGAATCACTTGAACTTGGGAGGCGGAGACTACAGTGAGCTGAGAGCACACTACTGCACTCCAGCCTGGGCAACTGAGCAACACTCCATCTTAAAAAAAAAAAAAAAAAAAAAAAAAAAAAACCAGTAAATGTCACCTCCTTGAAGAAGGCTTCCAGAACCACCTCTTCATCACTACCACCACCATGTTCATTTCCCCTGCAAAAAAATTCCTCACTGCACTTTGCACTTTACAGTGGCACCCCTCACAAGTGCTGAGATTTTATAAATGTTTACCTGCAATATCTCCCTCAGGTGGCAGCTCTGGTAGCTCAGGGCTGTGCCCAATGTGTTCACCACCAACCCTTAAGCCCCTCACAAAAAGCCTGGCACACTGTTCAAGGCATATGTGTTTAACCACACAGTCCTAAGTCAATGGAATTACCCTTCTGCCTGAATTCTAATTATTACAAGTATACTCTCCTCCTAAGGTGTCTAACAACAGAAAAGTGGCTGAAAATAACATCGCAGTTTCCACTTGCACAGCCCATTACTATTTCTGATCCTACTTACTCTTAAATACATTTACAAATTTAAATTTTTTGCTCAGAAAGCACTCCTAAGATCCACAGATCCTGGAGTCCATGCTTGGCTATCTGCTAACAGCATTCTGACATTCATTCATTCTTTTATTCACTCATCCAGCAGATATTTATTGACCACCACTGGTCCACAGCTGAGCCTCACAACTGAAACTGTATTTTTCTTCTTCTCCCTCTATATGACTGTATCTCCCAAACCAACTCTATTTACCAATTATTCATCTACTTTTCCCATGAGATAGCTGCTGTATCACCACCCAGGATCTATACAAATCCAATTAAAAGCAAACAAACATTAGGTTTTAGTAATCTGTGCTGCCTCATCATGATCAGTATCATCAAATCCAGCCACCTAGCACCCTGTACCCCACCCTGAGCTTTAAGGGGTCAGTAGAGAGATCAAGAGAAGAAACTCAGGCCCAGCTTTAACCCACTCGCCCCCCCCCACCCACAAGGGGTTGCCCCCTTAACATTCCTGAATAGCTCTGAGCTCTGGGAAGAAAGCTGCTTTCCAGAAGCATCAAAATGCAATCTTGTGTTGGTGCTCGGAGAAGCTTGAGAGCCACAGGATAAGGTGTATAAAACCACAGAAAGGGTTTGACAACAACCCAAGGCACACTCCCCAGAGGGTAGCTCTTCTACATGTGTTAACCTACTCATCCCCCTCCCCCTGCCTATTTCCTACAAGAGTCCAGCCTTGTCTTTGGATTCTGAGCTCACTGAAGCCAGTTCTCTCTTTCTCAGCATGCCAGAGCTATAAGAGGGCCGCAATGTGGCACCTGCCTTTCCAAGGTTTTTGACCTACACTGCAAGGCATAATTGCACCCATATTTTCTTTACCTTTCCCTCAACACATGCCTGTCTCTGAGTTTCCCTGACTCTGCTATAGTCATCTGCTCCCTGAAGAGCATCAACACTGCTTCATGGTATAGGCTTCCCAATCTGGAGGGATGGAACCCCAAAGGCATTTCTGGGTAAGAGCAACCTACAGATTTTCTATGACTAATCACAAAAGCTTAACCCTGCTGTTCTCTGAGAATATTTTCACCTTCCATGAACTAAGTGATCACCCAAATAGCTATATACTTGGAAAACAAAGTTGCTTGATTGTTTTATTCTACAGCAAAATTCAATCATTCTGAAAAGCAAAACCACACTGTCATTATACATGCTTAGGAAGGTGACATGAAGCAGCAAATGATTCATTTTTACTGCCTTTGAAGGGACGCACTACTTTGCAACTCCCTACTCTTTATTACATAGTCAAGGTCACACTGATGTTTACTAAAATAACTAAAAAGTCTGGTTCTTAAAAATGTGTTGATCCAATGTCAACAAAGACTGAAAAATAATGACTCCGCAAGCCATTTTCTGACTCAATAAAATGCTGTAGCCTGGAAAAAAAGAAAAGTATATTACATTTTTTATTAATCAAGTGAAGTTTGCTGGAAATCAGATTTTTTTTTTCACTTCCACTTACAAATTCCATTTACCACTTCGCTCTTTCAGAAGCAGCCCCCAAAAAGAGATCATTTCTCCTTAAGCATTTCATCCTAGAGGCTGGGCAGCAAGCCTCCCGATGAAGGGCACAGCTTCAACTCACAAGGCTCAGGATCTCTAAATCAGTGATAATGCTCCACATTTAAATCTGTACTCTGCTTCCAGGGGCAACCTAATCAAACGTACTTAAAAATTACTTTGAAGACCACATTTTAACTTGCCAGTGGAAGTCGTGGCAATTTTAGAAAATGTTCTAAAGAAATCATCCTGACATAACTTAACTTCTGTATTTAAAGCACAATTCTTAAGAAACCAAGGTAGTAGTCAGGTCAGAAAACAGCAGGGGCCTTAGGTCTGACAGCCTGGATTTGAGTCTGGGCTTCACTTGTTAGTGGTTGTGTGATTGTTGGCAAGTCATTCAACCTTTCTGTGCCTCGTTTTTCTTATCTGTCAAATGGGTGGTGTTCCTTTCACTTTGTACTAGAGTCTATCTTCCATTCATATTTTGTATCTCATGGCCACAGCTGGGGATCTCTGTGTTAACATGGGACACAACTATACAATTCTTATTTTCATTGTCTTATTTTGCATCCACTTCAAGGTCATACCTGTAATCTATGTAGGCCTGATAACAGAAATACTAAAAAGGCAAAAGACAAAGCAGGGTTTTGTCTGATAAATCTTCTATCAGTTTTCCTGGCACCAAGGGTGATACACAGCACACAGAATCACATGGTATAGAATATTTAAAAATAGGGCTGGGCGCGGTGGCTCACGCCTGTAATCCCAGCACTTTGGGAGGCCGAGGCGGGTGGATCACGAGGTCAGGAAATCGAGACCATCCTGGCTAACACGGTGAAAGCCCGTCTCTACTAAAAATACAAAAAAATTAGCTGGGCATGGTGGTGGGCGCCTTTAGTCCCAGCTACTCGGGAGGCTGAGGCAGGAGAATGGCGTGAACCCGGGAGGCGGAGCTTGCAGTGAGCCAAGACGGCGCCACTGCACTCCAGCCTGGGCGACAGAGCAAGACTCCGTCTCAAACACACACACACACACACACACACACACACACACACACACACACACAAAATAGAAGAAATGGAAAATATATATGTACAAATATGTATATATAGATGATTCAAAATTATGCATAAAAATATTGGAAACATATGCACCAAAATGGTAACAGTTGTTAGCAATGGGTTAGAAGATTACAGCAACAAGAAGTGAGAGAGGGATGGGAAAATATATTTTTTAAAAATTGCAGTGACTTATTTTCCTTCCTTATGCTTTTCTGAGCCTTCCCAAATTTCTACAATAAATTCTAAAATCAGAAAAATGATTTTTGTTATAAAGACATTTTTCCCAGAAAACAATGTTTCCAATGAAGTTGTGTTACATACAAAATCAGTGACAGTGATTATGAGAATAACTATTTATTTAGCACTTCCTATGGGTCAGGCCCTGCAGTAAGTACTTTACAGAAAGCATTTCATTTAGTCCCCACCCACTGTGATGTAGGTATTGTTCTGAACCTCATTTTGCAAATGAACAACTCAAGTTATTTGTGTGAAATCAAAGAGCTGGTAAGCGGTGATGCCCCAGATGTGAACCCGGGATCTGACTCCAGGATTCCCACACCCATATGCCAGCCACTAGGCTTCCTGCCTCTAGCCACGCTGGTTCCCAAAAACCTCACCTCTCTGTTTTTGATTTTCATGTCTTCTTTGCTCTTTATTGACTCTCATTCTTTTTTGGGAGTGTTCAGAAATAAACAGTGTATGTATTTCTGGCATGTGGAGGCATCAGGCAACCATTACACATAGTTATCTGCTATGAACACACACACCTTCCCCAAGGGGGACATAAGAACATGAGGATTAAAAAGCAAACCCGGCCGGGCGCGGTGGCTCACGCCTGTAATCCCAGCACTTTGGGAGGCCGAGGCAGGCGGATCACGAGGTCGAGAGATCGAGACCATCCTGGCTAACACGGTGAAACCCCGTCTCTACTAAAAATACAAAAAAAATTAGCCAGACATGGTGGCGGGCGCCTGTAGTCCCAGCTACTTACGAGGGTGAGACAGGAGAATGGCGTGATCCCGCGAAGCGGAGCTTGCAGTGAGCCGAGATTGCACCACTGCACTCTAGCCTGGGCGACAGAGCGAGACTCCGTCTCAAAAAAAAAAAAAAAAAAAAAAAAGCAAACCCTCCAACTGTCAGCTCTCACAGCACCACAAACCTCTCCTTCCAGATGCTGGTCACGCCTGCCCTCCACATTTGCCTGCTGTTTGATTACTTCTACATGCCGACCACTTTTCAGAGCACTTTGCATGCATTACTTTTCTTCTCACCATTACTGTTCCTACTTTACACAAGGAAATTCAGGCCCAGAGAAGTCAAGAGGCTTGCCCAAGGCCTTAGAGCTGGGGTTTGAGTTCTGGAGTTATCATTCTCAAGTCAATGAAGAACGAAGGTACACCTCTCCATTTTCTAAAAAAATGTTTCTCCTATTAGGATTGCTTCATTTTATTTCTGTAGGTCCTGAATATTTCGTATAAATCATACTCCTAATATTTTTAAATTATATTTTCCAACTGGTTATTTGAGATACTCAAGAAAACTTGTTTACATGTTAGCTTTGTATCCTTCGTAAACTTACTGAATTCTCTCATTAACTGTAATAATTTTAGTTGATTCTCCATTATATCAGCTACATAATCTCCTAATTTCTATAAATACTAATTTTGTCTCCTCCTTTCCAATACAAAGATATATTTCTTTCATGTTGTACAACTACATTGTCAGAACCCTCCCAAAACTACATTAAATAATAGCAAGAGCAGGCATCTTTGTTTGGTATTTTATTTAACTGGGGATGCTCCTAGTGACTCAACACTAAGTATGACACCAGTTGTTGGCTTAATATAATACCCTTCCATCGGGTTCAGGAACTAGTCTTTGAGTCCTATTTTACTAAGAGTGTTTATCAGGAATGAATACTAAACTTCATCATCAAATGTCTTCCCAGTACTGAGATAATTATGACTGTCCTCCTAGCAATTCATGATAAATATTATTAATGTATTTTATATCATAAAATCATATTTTCTATTCTAACTCTACCTGATTTGACTGCAGAGTATTTTTCAGATATGAAAATAAAAATTAGCTCATTTTGTTTAACTGTTTTATGTAGTTTGAATTTCATTTATTTTAGTTTGAATTAAGTTACAATTTTTAAAACTATATCCATAGCTATTCACTATGCCTGTCTCCTGTCTCTCTTTACCACCTCCCACCAGGCCTAATTCATCCCCCACAACATCAACAGAGCCGCTTTTCTAGATCACACATGCGGCTCCTTCTCTCTTATTCTCAGCAATCTGCAACATCACCATGTTTCTGTATTATAAAGTATACATCTTTTAGCATGATAATTACTGTCCTTTATAAGATGGCCCCAAACTATCTTTTAATCTTCATTTCAACCATGATTCCCAAATGCCACTCACTTGGGATTCTTTTTCTCATGATTTTCCCAAAAAGTCCTTATTTTCTTCACTGGGACAACTCTTTTCTTTCTTGGGCCAACACACTGCCGCCTCATCTACGGCCCTCCCCAGTCCCCCCTGCTATTTCATCCCAGAGCACCAAGTACACGTCTCTGTCGTGGGACTTGCCCCAGCCTGACTTGTGCAGATCCTCATTTGGAGCAGAGGTCCGCAAACTTCTGTGAAGAGTCAGATGGTGAATATTTCAGGCTCTCCAGGCCTCATGGGCACATTTCTGTTGCATTTTTTCCCTACACTTTAATAAAGTAAAAACCATTATTAGCTCACAGGCTATATGAAAACAGGCCACCAGGGATCAGCAGTACTTTGCCTCTCCTGGTTTACAGCCTCATCACCCCCTGGACTATAAGCTAGTTGAGAGAGGGGAAAATCTCTAACCCATCTTCATATTCCTCAGCTCCTGGCACTTGGGAAATGTTCAAATCACTGAAGTTGATTGACCAGGAACATTGATAACTAATGTATCCTGATGAGTCAGATATACAACCATGGACAATTATTTCCCCAAATCTTGAGCTATTTCAACAAAAAGTAATTTTGGATTTTGAGTCTCTTAGGCATCTGGGCATCAAAAATGAGCCACATCCGTGGGGATGGCAGGGAGGTAGTTTGAATTTCACTTATTCAATAAATGAAATGAGGCTTTTTGCCTCATTTAGTAAGACAAATTATGATATTCAGCCAAAGAGCCTCTCCCTCCCCAAATATAGAAAAAGTGCTTCTCTTATCACAGAGTTCACAACTACACTGCTCCCTGGGCCTCACAGAATATAACGCCAGCTAACTCCAACTTTTCAACTAGCCTGCTCAGCTTCTCATCCCAGAAAATCCAGACTTTTAATGCTGTTTTGAATACTTATCATGTATCCAGCCTAGCTATCAGTGATTCCTTTTTCTTCTATCTCCTGAAAACTGGGGAGAAAGCATTGTCTAAATCGCTAAACGCGAGAGAAACAATTGTCAGTTACCATTATTATTGCTATCACCCTGCTCTCTGATTTTCCCAACCAGAAATGTCCCGAAAGGTGAAGGTCGCC
The DNA here is from genome assembly GCF_000001405.40 of Homo sapiens. Lineage (NCBI taxonomy): Eukaryota > Metazoa > Chordata > Mammalia > Primates > Hominidae > Homo > Homo sapiens. The sequence goes on from NC_000006.12 coordinate 99,321,832, forward strand.
CCTCTCTGGTTAAAAAAGCAACACTGTTAAAGATGTGTGGTGCTTATAGCATAATTTCTGTCATAATTCCAGGGGCTCAATTCCTTGCTTACTGAGGCTCACAACAGCATGAGCCGGTGAGGAAGGGGAAGAAGCCAGGAACAGACATAGCCATTGTTAAGGAGAAATGGCCCAGTTGTGAGCCTGGTTTCTGAGGCCAAGAGTCCAGCATTAAGTTTCCAAAGGAATGAGGCAAACTTGAGGTTAATTCCATTCACATCTACATCAAGCAGGTCTACCTGGTCCCAGTGGAGCAAAACAACAGAAGGCCTAGACAATGTCAATTCTGCAGGCCAGACAGAGCTTTTGAAGGAGTCCAGCCAGTATCAAGCCCCCACCCCCAGAACATAACTCCCGTAATGAAGCTAGCCAAGAGCTGGATGTGGTACTGGGATCTGCCCTCTGCAAGCTGGGGTTCAAGGAAGGACCTCAGGTCTAGCAACTGTCTGAAATGTAGAGCAGAAAGATGCAGTCAGAGTGGGTCACTCTGCAAGGGACAGGTTATATCCAGAACGGCCTCTACCCAGCATGGCTTCCAGTTCCTAAGGCACGAGGTGGTCTTCAACAAAACAAATTCTAAACTCTACTTCCTAGCAGAGGTGAGGTACTTAATGTGCTCTAGAATGAGGATGAGGGTGAATCTGGAAATTACTGCAGATGAGGGAGAGCCAGTGAAAACCCACCTTCTGCAGAAAAAACTAGTAGCCCTCAAAAGGACCTGGTCAGATGACCTAGTCACATGGAGGACTTGGCTCCCTGTACATTAGCTATCCCCCAGGAGAAGCCATTATTTCACACATAGAAGGTCCTGAATTCAATATCTGTTTATGAATTGTCATCGCTATGAATCAAGCTCTGCCCAGTAAAGAACCACATCAGCCCAGGCCCCCTCAACCGGTCAGGGGAGCAAGAGTACATCATTCTATTCCCAGCCATCCTCACCAGCCCGCGGGTACACACTGCTCTCTGTGCTTCTCTTTTAGTGGTTTCCCAAACAAAATTATATCATTGTGTGTGACAAATACAAAATCACACTACTAAATGTGCTAGTAATAAGAGGACTAAGAATATGACCAGGAATAAGAGGGGTGAGAAAATGACAAATGTTCCACATATACAGGGAATGGATCAGAATCAGTGCTGTCAGCAGGCCTCTCAAACTCTTGACGTCAATGGGCACACAGTTGAACCTCTGAGCAGCGTGTTCCTAAAGCAGCCTGTGACCCTGACCTGTTTATAAACCAAAGTGCTTCCTTGCTCAAAATCCCTGTTTTCTTACAGCACATTCAGAAGTGCCAGCATCACTTGCAGCCAGGTGGTGAGGCTGAAGCATGTTCCATACTCTCTTCACACGGGCTCACCATGCTAAAAACAGTCAAGTACCAGTGATTAAGTAGAAAGACACATGCTTTTGAAAATTAGAGGATTTGGTTAAATGTGGGGACTGCAATCTACACATGGAAGCAAAGAAATCAACCAAAATTAAAACATAAATTAGTGAACCAACAGTGTTTTACTAATCATGCAAAAGGAAAGAATAGCAAATATAGAAATAGAAGGTGTGGTACATTACCCAAAAGCCCTGCTAAAGACCGCATGTCCTTCTCCATCAGCATGTAAATCTCTTCCTCGGAGAAGCGGCCAATGCCGTGGCCGTGCATCTCGCGTTTCACAATTCCTTTCGTTATGTGGCACACAACCCACCTCAGCAGGTTGCTGAAGGGACCACCACCACTAAGAGAGAGCATCTTCCGGGTCTCATTGAGATTGTCCACCCACTGGCAATAAGCTAATGTCCTGGAATTGTGTGGAAACAAGTTACTACTGTGCATCAGGTACATATCAGCTCCACAGGGTCACTTTAGAATGAGTCGTTCAGAATTTACTACACTCTGGAGGAACTGAATAACTGCAGCTTTAATAAAGAGCAATCTGCATGGCAGCTATCACAACAGGCTCTAGTCAATGCCTAGACTTAAGGGATTGTGGAAGAAATGGGAAAAAATCCAGATAAAGATGCCATCAAACCTTTCCTGGTACCCACCCTCAGACCTCTCCCCTCCCCTCCCAGTGCCACGTTTCTGCCTTCTCTCACACAACCCCACAGAAAACAAGTAGAAACCCACTGGAAAAGTCTTTGAGTCAGAAGAGTGAGCACCCATGGGGGCACAGGGCAGGAGGCAGTAGTGACTGGGGTGTTGGCATCATTCTCTTTCCTGAGCAAAATGATGGTTCCACAGGTTTATGCTTGGTGTTCATTAATTAAGCTGCACATTTGTTTTGTATACTCTGTATATGCATTTTACATTTCATGACATAAAAGAGTTAAAAAAAAAAAGAAAAATTTCTGAAAGAAACCTTTTTCCCTTTTTAAAAAAAGATACAGGGTCTTGCTATGTTGCCCAAGCTGGACTCTATAACTCCTGGGCTCAAGTGATTCCCCCACGTCAGCCTCCAGAGTAGCTGTGACTACAGGCATGCACCACCACACCTAGCCTTTTTGCTTTTTTGATAGCGCATTAGGGAGTAAGTGCACCTGTCCATCTTTATTATAAATTAAAATATTATGTAAATGATTTGCTCTCCAAGAAAATCAACTCTTTACCTCAGTTTGTTCTCAAGAACTCTAAAGGGAACACAACTGCCAATGGAACTTGGCTGAATCCTTTTTCCCGTCTAGGTGATCCTAGTGGTAAACTTGCTCATTCGGGTGCTCCTGAAAACAGTATAATCCGTATGGCGAGGCCAGCAGCTATTCACTGTTCCAACATTTTGCTGGCCACCGTACCCAGGTCTTTGCTGATTTTATTCCCCAAATGGCAAGAATTTTTTTTATGGCTAATAGTGCTGGTAGATAGAAATTCAAAGGGTTTTCTACCAAAGGCTGAAGAGAATGCAGCTGTGTGCGAGTACAGGCATAAGACATTTTCATTTTTCCTCCCTAATGAGTAATAAAAGATGTATTGGCAATCACCTCTACTCTTAGTGCTGGCTGATATAGCAGTAATGGCCACTTCAAAAAATTCAGAAGCCAGGTGTGGTGGTACATGCCTGTAGTCCCAGCTACTCGAGAGGGCAAGGCAGGAGGATCGCTTGGGCCCAAGAGTTTGAGGCCAACCTGGGCAACACATAGTGGGACCACTGTATCAATCAATAAATAAAAACTCAGAAATAAAAAGAAATTCATGGAATTGGAAAGTGTCAGAGCCAGAATGCTGCAATTTTTAAGGTTTGTTTTTTTTTTTAAATCAAAGGGGTGAAAAATATTTTGAGAGAGAACTCAAGGAATGACAGTAAATCACAGCTACAATGAAATGCTGTTTTCCACCTCAAGGGGGAAAAAAAGGCATTTTGATCATTGTATATAGTTCTGTTCTTTAAGGGTTCTCTGTTCTAAAAACAAATAAAAATAAGAAATAGATTTCTCTAAAATTGCTGGATTCCTGATTTTCACCAAAAAGTCTTACAGCCAATTTCAACATACTCCCTGTGCTGTAGCTATAGCTGTTCTTGGCTACCTTTTTAAACGAATGCCCATAAATCTGATTAGAAAGCTTTGTGTGACTCTTTTGGTAAGTCTCTCAAAATAAAGTACTGAAGAATCAAGAAATAGTTTTTCCCCAAAAGAGGAAGAAGTACATCACAATAGTGACTAATTAATGTGTATAGTCGGAGCATTCCATTGATCTTCCAATACAGAATAGCTCACATTTTTTCTAGTAAATTCTATATAGACATGGAAACGAAATGCTTTCCTACTTGCTCCTTTTTTCACACCTGCAGTAATTAAGATGACAATTTTCACGTTCCCTTAGAATAATTCAGCACTTTGACTCTAATTGTATTAGGTCTAAATTCACAAAAAAAAGTTACACAACCTTTTACCATTCTGGAATTCAATGGTTTTAGGATAAAACTAAATTATTCTAAATTGAACATGAGCAAGTAATAATAGCATCCGAAAAGCATCTAAAGTGTAAAAATGCAGAATGTGTGGCTCTAAGCTGACGGGTTAGAAGGGGAAAAAAATCCTTTGTAGACAAATTACAGATTTGATCATAAGCATAACTGATCGAGCTCACCGGGCAGAGCAGAGGGTGAAGGTGTACGCATGAAGAGCATCAGCTGCCTGACGAACTGCAAGAACTTCTGTAAGGGGCACGTGGGTACAGGCTGCATTTGAGGAAGCCTGTAAGAGGCGAGGCTGGAGGCGCCGGCAAGGGCACAATCAGGACAGGCCTGAGGACAGGGAGCTGAACTTTATTCCAAAAGCAAAGGTTAACGGCTGGAAGGCTTTAAACAGACAAGAAACATAATCAGATTTGTGGCAATGTAAAGGAAGAACTGGAAGGTGGAGAAAATGCTAGCAGGAAGGCCAGTTACCAGACTACAGCAAAACCAGGCAAGAGATGATGCACTGGGTGAGGCAAAGGCAGAAGGAATCCATAGGAGAAACATTGCAATAGAAGAAAAAGAGTCTACTGGACTACAATGGATGTAAAGATTTATGGGTAAGGAGAAACTAGGTATTTTCTCCTAAAATGATAGTTTGAGTGGATGGTAATACCAGTAACCAATACTAGATTGTACAAGGTAGAATATATTTGGATGATGAAAGATTGGTTAACCTGTAGCATTTGAAGGTCCCATGGAACCCCTAAGTGAAGATGTCTAGAAGGCTGAGAACTCAGGAGACAGGTTTAGACTCCAGATAGAGAACTGGTGAGCAGGGGCATGTTGGTGGTGGTTTCAAAGCTGTGAGAGGAGATGAGGTCACCTTAGGAAGTCTCTAGAGTGTTGAGGAAACCATAGTTCAAGGGCAAGTTAGAAGATGTGAAGGCCAGGCTGAAAGAGGCAGCTTGGAGAGAAGTAGGGGCATCTTTCTCTGCGCTTCAGAAAGAGAGAGTGTTGTAAGGGGTGAGGGGCTACAGAGAAATTTAGAGTTCCTGCCTGATGACTTCAGCTTCCTCCGTAGCATGGGAAATGGGGGCACGCACACAAGGTGAAAACACAGCAGTGTAGAGAGTTTTAGCAGTAGCAGGCATGAAGGGAGAGGCAGCTGTTCTGGGCCACACAACTTGGCAGGGAGGAGTCTCTGCCAGTGCAATGGTGTGGGATTCTCTACCTGCAGCAGGCTGAATGCAGGACACAGAAGACGAAACACTGGCTTGATTCAGAATTTCATAGCTAGAAGTAACCTCAGAAACTGTTTGGTCTCTCTCTCTTCTCCTTCTATCTTGCCCTTGATTTTTCTTCCTCTCTTTCACTCTCTGTGCTCAATATTATCGACCAGTGTCAGGGAAGAGAAGTAAATGAGGGTCAGGCAGGTCTTTAAGGGTTGAGGCCAGTGAAATGTGTATAAACTTTAAATACCAAAGAAAATAGATGCTTCATAGATTCCTAAATCAACTACCACACATAGAAGATATCACATTGTATATGTTTCCATGTTATTGCAAACAAGAATCCACCTCCTTTCACAATCAAGATTCTTGAAAACCCTGTTGACATGGTTGGAGCCTCTACCCCAACTACTCCACCAAAATCACTCTTGTTCAAGTCAACAGTGCAACATCTAAATAAACCATCTTTCTATATTCTTGAACTCTCTAAAGTATCTGACACTATTGGCCTCTTTCTTGGAACTTCCCCTTAGCTTACACCTCTACTGCTTTTCCTTCCACCCCTTACATATTCCCAAGATCTCTATCTTCATTCCTCCTATCTTCCTACTCCACACTCGTGGAGCCATCTAACTCACACCTATGACTTCACACTCATGTCTCCCATATCCAGCCCTCTCTCCTGATATCCATGGATACTATGTGGATGACCCTCAGGAACTGCAAACCAACATTTCCAAAACTGCACTCATCATCTTTGTTCCATTCAAACCTGATTCTCCTCACCCAAGCCAGAATCCCAGGAGTTTTTCTTCACTGACCCCTCTCCCTCACTCCTGACAGCCAGTCACCCTGTGAATTTGCCCTTTCTCCAACTCTATAAACACTGCAGTTCAGCCCTTCATTATTTCTTAACTACAAGGAACATGGCCTCCTACCAGGTCCCCTGACATCCCCTCAAGGCCCTTCAGAAATGATTTGCTCCAATGTATACAAAGAGCTTCCTAAACACAAACCTAATCATAAGAGTAATGCTTCTTAGAGTCATTCATTAATACCCCACAGCTCCTTTGCATGGCATGCCAGCCCCTCTCCCCACAGTCTAACCCCTCTATGACCTGGCCCTTCTTGGGCCCCATCTCCCAGCACTGACTCCCATGCACCCCATGCACAAGCCATACAGAATTACATGCACCTCCCTGCTATAGACTGAACGTTCATGTCCCTCTAAAATTCATGTGTTGAAACCTAACCCCCAGTGTGTTGGTATGTGGAGGTGGGGCCTTTGGGATTATGATTAGGTCATAAGGGCAGAGCCCTCATAAATGGGATGAGTGCCCTTATAAAAGAGACCCCAGAGAGCTGCCTTGGCCCTTCCACCATATGAGGTTACAGTGAGAAAGATGACCATCTATGAGTCAGGAAGCTGGCCCTCGCCAGACACCAAATCCACTGATGCTTTGATCATGGACTCGCCAGACTCTGGAGCTGTGAGAAATAAACTTCTGCTCTTTATGAGCCACCCAGTCAAAAGTATTCTGTTATGACAGCCCAAACGGCCTAATATACTCCCCAAATGCCTCCTTCTTGCCTCTAAACTTGTGCAGATGTTGCTCCCTCTGCCTAGACATCCTAACCTTTCCCGACCACCAGCCCCTTCATCTGCCACTCCCAACTGTCCTTGGATTCCGTTTTGACAATACCTCCTCTGCAAAGCCTTCCCCCCTTCTCTCTAGTGATAGCTGGCTGCCTTTTCTTGGTTCTTCAAACCCTCCCCCAGCATTAACCATTACAAAGCCTTGATGTCTGCCTCCAGCCTTTGAGCCACTTGATAACAGGTATACATACCATCCTGGCCACTAACACTCATTCATTAAGTTTGCAGAAATAATGAATTATTGATTAAATGAAAAAAGGCTTTGCTTTTGAGCCAGCTACTGCTAAGTAGTGTTTCTAAGAGATGACACATACTTAAATAGAAAAATGGGAAAAGAGAACAAAGAGATGTGCCTACGGAAAATGAAGAAGGGGCTGCCACTTTTCTCTTGGAATCCATGGCTCTTCACTCTCCACTGGGAGGAGACCCACTGCAAAAGGAATCATGAATCATTAACTGAAGAGGACAGAGAGGGTCAATTTGGAAAGCTGACAAGGCTAAGCAATTAACTTATCATTTTGAGGATCTATTTCAAGAAGTTGAAATACTAATTTTCCTTATCACAACGAATGTATCTAATCTCTTCTGCAAAAATGGGGTCAAAGAGATTTTTTAAAAGACTATCTTAGAACAGAGGAACAAAACCTGCTCAAAAATGTTTACAGGTGAACAAGAAAATGGTCAAAGAGAAGCTGACCCCTGGTATTTTAATGAAGATATCATGCATTATAACTTAATACCTGGCCCGTGATAGAAATGAATATTTATAAGTGGGAACCCATAACAAACTACAATTTGATGACTGAGTATCAACACCTGGACTTCCAACTCATGAGAATGCCTTTCTCTGCATAGGGCTACATCCTTGCTGTCTTTTGCTTATACTCTGAATATCTACTCAAGAATACAGGAGCATATGGTATGTTTCTGTAGTTTCACCAAGTTTCACAAGCATTACATCAACTCCCCCAAACAGGGGCCCTCGCTACATCTAAAACTGGGGTGGGGAGAAAAGAAAGAAAAGGAGAACATATGAACAAAGTTATAAACAGAAAGAGTAGTCTCTTGGCTTTTAGAAAAGATCTTGGTTAAGTCAATTTATGAAACTATCCCATCTTCCCCCATCTCCTGAACTACACTCAAAATTGTAAAATTATGGCCAACCTAGAAGCAAGTTTGAATTCACTGTTCTAATGCCTGTGTGTATGTGTGCACGCGTGCACACATACACACAGGCATTAGAACAATTTTTGTTATTTTTTTTTAGAGACATGGTCTCACTCTGTCGCCCAGGATGTAGTGCAGTAGCGCGATCACGGCTCAATGCAGCCTCGAACTCCTGGGCTCAAAAGATCCTCCCGCCTCAGTCGCCACCACACCTGACTGTTTTGTAGAGAGAGGGTTTTGCCATGTTGCCCAGGGTGGTCTCGAACTCCTGGGCTCAAGCAATCCTCCTACCTCAGCTTCACAAAGTGCTGAGATTACAAGCACGAGCCACCACGACTGGCCCTAATGCCTATATTTTTATGGGTGAAAATATTATAATAACTAGATAGTCTGAAAATGATACCCATATGGGGTTGAAAGACTCTGAAGACGCTCACTGACATCCACAAGGGGGCAGTATGTCACACTGAAGAAGCTGCAGTGTGTGTCACCCAAAATCAGTTTCATTCCAGTCATTTGACCCCGTGTCAAGTTGACTTCCCTTTACACCAGCTTCTCTGTACTTATGTATTCAGTACAACAAAGGGGATTTTTAAAAACTGTGTTCTTGATCTTCAGTAACAGTTTTTATAATGCAAGGGGGACATCAGTGTATAGATTTCAAGTGGAAGAAAAGCCACTTTAGAGCTGAGTGTGTTTATTTGAATAGACCTAAAACAGTTTCAGAATTATGTGATGTAATATAACAATGCTAGCTTTCCATTGCCTTTGCTTTTCATAAAATCATGCCTGGGGTGTTTTTAAGGTTTCAGGCCAACATAAACATATGAAAACTCCACATAATTGAATCAATTGAGTCAAACAAGGTAGGCTTATTAAATTTCCTCTTCTGGCTATGTGAGTATAGACACAACCTAGGAGCTCACTGACTGTTAGAATTTAACAAGATATCACGGAAAGCTCATACCTATAATATTTTCCTACAAATTTTGGTCAGATCCCTATATGCTGGGCCTCAGCTTCCACAGGTAGACATTTTGTGTGTGGCCTTGGAACCAGAAGAGCAGAGGATGGGAGGTGCCTGAGGGAAGAGTATCTGAAGATTCTCTGCCTGGGGCATGGGGAAAGGAGGGTCTTTTCTCCATTGGGATTTAGAGCTCTCCTAAAAGTCTCTTCAGGTTTTCCCCAAAGCAAGAAGTTGGCTAAAGGCTTGAGAACCTTAAGAAACAGATTTGTTTTTCCTTCTGCTACTAGGGACTAAATAGAACTGTGGGAATTAGCAGTGTTGCTTTGAAAGTTTATTAGATATGTGCATCTCAATCAAGACCTTGCCTCCCACCCTCACTATTTTTTCCTCAAATTAACCATTGAGAAGACATAAGCAAGAAATAATAGCTAACCCCTCCAACATTTTTCAAATTAAAAAGTGAATTAGAGAAATAAAATTGTCCTTAGAAGAGTCTACATATGACCCAAGCAGATCCCCAAGCCTTTGGAAATTTGTAGTCCACAAAATTAAGATCTTTTCCCACGGGGTACCACTTCCCAACTCTCACCTCCATCCCTTACCCCACCCACACTCCACCCCGCATGGAGTATCAGCTCGGGGCTGGTGAAGGAAGAGATGGAAAGGGCAGGGCAGGGATGAATTTTTAGCAAGGAGTAAAGTTATGTAAAATGATATGTACGCACACACAGAACAAAAAATAGTGATGTGTGGTAGTTGGAAATGTTGCTGGGTCAAAAACTTTCTAAGGGGAATATATATTTTCTAAACCATTATGGAAATCAAAGAGTTGTAGCCAAAGTGACAACTAAAATGTATGGCTTTCAGCTTTTCAGACAGCTAACAAAGCAACAGCTCTGGCAATCAATGGGCCCATCAATCAAATGAGGTAGTGCCTTGGAGGGCCTCTGTCGAGGGAAGGAACATGGGTCACGTGGCCTTGTGCAGGTCCTTCCTTTCCCTTCACAGCAGCAGAACTGACTGGAGCCTAGTAAGCAAGTGTGATGGGCTCTTCGCAAGGCCTTTCTCAGAAGCTAAGTTTTTCCTGGAAGCTATGCATGTCAGATGCAGTCATGCATTCTGGTTCCCTGTGACTGTGACTGCTGCACACCTTGGGAGGGGAGCCCCAACAGTTCCCTACCACTATTGTAAGGAAAATACCTGGTTCATTCCATGAACACTGAGTCTGATTACTTCCACACTAATCTGTACCCCTGTCTCCAGCCTCTCCCCAGCCCCCTCCTTGCTGCCTACTCTATCACCTCTTTAGGGAGTGGTGGGTAGAAGTGGAGCTTAGGTCAGCCCTGGAATAAACTGGGCAAGAATCAAAAGTAAAAAGAGAAAAAGAAGAGGGTCACTTAAAATCCAAGAGATAGGAACAGCAAGTTCTCCATTTAGAAAGAGAGTAGAATAAATGAAATAGGGGAGGAGGAGAAGAAAGAACCTTCTCCAGTCAAGCCCATATTGAGGATATCACTCAGCGGGAGAGGTTTAATAAAAGCTACTGGGCCAGCATCTGCCTGCAGATAACAATTAATGCCAAAAACAATGGGCTTAACAACTCTTAATTCAATCTTTGGAAAAAGATAAAGTTTGCAGAAATCAAGAGAAACTTTCTCTATCTACTGGGGTGTAGAGAAAGGTGCAGAAACTCCAGAAAATGGATGAAAGAAAAATTTCAAAAACCATAGACTAATGAGTTTGTAAAGCAAGAACCATATCTTCTTAACTCACATGGTACCACCGCCAGCTCAAGGCTACAAAAAACAGAACAGGGAAAACTCATCAACTCGTGTGATGGTTCAAACTTGGGGAATACAAACTAGGAGTTTGCAATCAAGCCAAAGAAAATCCAGAAAGGAGTAGTATGCTTTACTTCTGGAACATACAGAAGCTCTTGTTATCTATGGACAATTGACCCTAGGAATTCTATCTTGACTTAGTCTTCCATTCCCTCCTCTGAGTCTCTGACATAATATTATTTTAATTCAACAGTTTATACAGTATTGGTAAAAAGCCCTGAGTCCAATCAATTCAACTATCTTCCTCAACTCAGTGAGTTCTAGTCTAGATCAAGGCCCATCAAATTATAGTCCACAGGCTAAGAAGTTTTTACATTGTTAAATGGTTGAAAAAAATCAAAAGAAGGATATGGTACATTAAATGAAATTCAAGTTTCAGTACCCATAATAAAGTTTTAGCAGAACACGGTCATGCTCATTTGTTGGCATACTCTCTTATCACTGCTTCTGTGATAAAACAGCAGAGTTGACTAGTTGCAAAAGAGACGTACAGCCAGCAAAGCCTAAAATATTTACTGGCTGGTCCTGTACAGAAATGGTTTGCTGACCCCTGGTCTAGGTAACCAGAAACTTCACAGTCATAATAACTTTGATGACTGAGCCACTCACTTCATCCGAAACTGTTAAGGTAGAAAACTGCTGAAACGGTGGAAAGAGGATCTGAAAAGTGAAACAGAACCTGGGGCTTACTTCGAAAGGACGGGGACACCCCAGAGGGGACTCACCAGTAGAAGTGCTCCTCCACCATCTTGGTCACCGCTCTGGAGATGGCTCTTTCATGAGGGCCAAGGTTTTTGTTTAAATTCACTCCAAGCTTCTCTTCCAGAAAGTCAATTATGAATTCTGTGCCAGAAACTTTTTCATGATTATATTCAATCCAAGGCATTTTCCCTTGAGCAGAGAGTTTTCCACCAAAATAGTTCTAAGCAGAGTACATTTTTAAAAAGAGAAAAGCAATATTGTATTTAAATTCCACTGCATGATTAATAGAAACAAACATTCCAACCTTATGTTTGATAGTGACAGTACTACTCAAGTGAATGAACTCAGGGCATAAACTCCTTAAGACAATACATGGTTACTTCAGGAAAAAAACTTGTTTAACCTCACATAAAGATATCACTTTATTCTCCCACAGATTCTATCGTGGACTTTGGCTTATGATGGAAAAGGAAAAAAAAGACCCCAGGGGCAAGGGATGATGGGGGTAAGGGGTAGCAGATTGAAAGGGCTGAAATGACCCTAGTAATAGTCAGTCTAGTTTTAATGTACAAACAATTCAAAAACTCAAAAAGTCAATATAAACCACAAGGAGGCCTGTATTGACTGGACAACTAACCAAAGACCTCACTTGAAAACCAGTATCTCACACCTGAATAATAATACCACTACACTATGAATGAACGGTCCCCAAAAATTATAATGCTTAGGTGTAGCAAAGTATGTACAACATATTCAACTACTGTGCCTCTTAAAAATGCAGGTTCCTGTGCCCCAGCCTGGACTACTGGATCAGAATCCTGGGGATAGTGCCCAGAATCTGTGTTTTTGACAAGTTGTCATTGGTAGAGAGAATAACGGGGATTTGGACTGATCTCTGCCTCCTGGTGTCTTGATATTTATCTCATTGCTTATTCTAAAGAATAAAAGTAGGCCTAACCTCAAAAAGGGTAATAACTATTGGGGATGTTATAGGGGCTGCTGTTAGTCATATTGCCTTTGTGCAATTAAGAAAATAGAACCTCCTCTGGGTGGAAATGGTCCATTCCAAGGTTTGCGGCTTGGCAAATAGAACTGGGTCAAGATTTCACCCCCACCCTTTGGCCAGGCACTGTTGTGCAGTGAGCAACTTGCACAACCACATATGGATCTCTAGACATTATCCCTGATGTTACCCCAGGAGAAATGTCACCTACTTCTAGAAGCTGCTAATACATCTAACATTCTTGTAATCTGTATACTAAAGATGTAAACTTACCACATACCATAGCCCCTATTTCAGATTTCTCTTGATGCCATCCATATCCTCTTAATACATCCCTTTCTGGACTCTTGTCATTCTCAGATGCAATCTATCCTCCACACTGCCACCAGAGGGAACTGTTTACAATGCAAATGAGACCCAAGAACGCTGCTGCTCAAAATTATCCAATGGCTTTAATAGCTCTAGTCTACAAACTACCCCTTTTCACACAGCAATCTAGACCCACATCCACCATCTAGCCACTGCCCACCTGCCCGGTCTCATTGGCTATCTAAGTCCCTCTGGTCTCCTAATTCCAGCTACCCCTACCCAGCCAGGTCAAGGTGTTTGCCCACCTCCCTGACTTTATGCACTCTTCACCTTTTACAAGAATCCTTTTCTCCACCCTCTGTAAAGTCCTATATCCATGCTTTTTAAAACAAATCAGTTCAAATCTCACCTTGTTACATAATTATTTCCCCAGGATACAACCATTATTTGCCCTTCCTCTGTGCTTCCACTGTATGGTGTGTAGTCCCCTACCCTTACAGAGTAACTATTTACACATCTGGCCTTACCTCTAGACCACCCTTTCCCCTGATAACTTGTTACATGTTTATCTTGACTACTTTTTAAAATAGTAGTAATAAAAATTGTAGAAAGTAAAAAATTTCCTCTTCAAAGTTCCCCTTCTTGTTAAAGAATAAATCATAAGTGTTAGAAATAATAGTTTCTTTTTATTAAAGACTAACTTTCTTCAAGCCTCCTTGCTTTGTGCTAGTAACTCTTTGTTAAGCCCTATCCTACGTAACTGTTGGACATGCTCACAGGCACGTTCCAGCTCACAGCCTATGCCCCTTCCTTATTTGGAAATGCTATTGCTTCCTTAAACCTTTCGTAAGCAACTTCTTTGTTCTTCCTTTCACTTACCTATTTAGGAAAGTTTTAGGCTATCAGCAAATCGGGCATCAGTTTAAGACTGTGAGGCCCTGCTCCAGCCAATGGATGCAGGACACAGCAGTAAGGACAACCCAAATGCGTAAGGGATAAATATGTCTGCTTTTTCTTTGTTCAGGTGTGCTCTCGCCATTGTTCCATCTGTGATTGAGCACCTTTTCTGCAGAAAGTAAAGATGGCCTTCCTGAGAGATCTTTTGTCTCCATGCTGACTTTTCTTCGCAGCACCAATTATCTATTTCTAACAATTTTGGTATTTCTAACAAAATTAATAATCAATTCTTATGTAAATGGAAGTTCTAGTATGTTTTCATGATCAACAATTATATTTTGATTGCTAGGTAAAAAGCAAGAGACAACATTTTAGAGACACTCTGATTACATCTAAGTAAACATAGATGAATGAAAAAACATTTTAAAAAAAAAGAGACTTACAAACATGTCACAAGTAATTGGGAAGACTATAGGTGAGATGCCGGTGATCTTTTTTTCCCATACATTTCAATTTCTCTAAATGTGGTCGTATAATTTTTAAAATAAAAAAAAATTTTACAGACACGGGTGTCTCACTATGTTGCCCAGGCTGGTCTCAAACTCCTGGGCTCAAGCAATCTGCCTGCCTCAGCCTCCCAAAGTGCTGGGATTACAGACATGAGCCACCATGCCTGGCCCAAAAAAAGTATGTTAAAAATGTTGATTTTTTTTCTTTTTTTCTCCCTTTAATTTTTCCTAAATATTTTTATTTCTACAAAATTGAGACAGGGTCTCGCTGTGTTGCCCAGGAAACTCCTTGTGATCCTCCTTCCTCAGCCTCCCCAGGTGCTGGGATTACAGGCATGAGCCACCACACCCAGCCAAAAATAATACTTTTTCTTAACTTCTTTAAATCTATTGAAGAACTCCTGGACTATTTTTATTTAAGCAATTAGACTCTGACTAATCCACTGAGGGTAGTTTCTGAAAGTAATTTTGAGAAGATAAAGAGGTAAATCCTCCATATTTTTTCCAAGCTGATGTTTCCTTCTGCAAGTCTGCCCCAGGTGAGACTGATGCAGCCACACATATACTACATTATTAGCATGGCAGTGAAGGCCATAGGCTTTGGATTTCAAAATCTCATTCCATCATTTATTCACGGAGTGACCCTGGACCTCCCTGGGTCTCCCTTAACCCTCCCTGGACCTCAGTGTCCTCATCTGTAGAGTGGGGATAATAACAGTTGCTAGGATGAAATGAGAAGATGTGCAGTGCCTTCATCAGAAGTATTTTGAAGAACTTGAGACTCTAAGAGAGATACCAGAGTCTTGGGACTCTGATTTGATATACTGGCCAGAATACCCATAGGTTTCAGGTAAATATCTATCTATTACATTCACTCTGCCCAGGAGCTATCTGGAGTCATCTTCCACTGGCTAAATTTGAAATAATTTGAGCAGTCTGTGTGGATTATGACACACTGAAAAAATCCACGCACCCACTATCTATTTAGTTTTGAAGAAGAATGTCCTTATTTTTTGGAGCTGCATGTTGAAGTATTGCAGGATGATGTGTCAGGATTTCTGCAACTTACTTTAAAATGGTTTACCAAAAACACTGTTCACAAATGTAGATGTAAAGAGTGGGGAAAGCAAAGGAGGAGACATTAACCATTCACGATCTAGGTAAAGGGCATGGGGGTGTGCACTGTACTATTCTTTTGTCTGCAGCTTAGGAAAAAAAAAAAGAGGCAGGAGGGGAGACAAGGTCAGCAAATAAATACAACATCAAAAGTTAGGGCTGACAGCTGAGGCAGACAGCTCCAAAGGAAACATTTTCTTTTTTCTTTCTCTCACTTAAAAAGAATTCTTTTGTGAAATGTATGCTTCTTATACAACTACTTATATCAAATGATGTAGGTGTCTTTACATGTCTAAAGAAATGTAAGGAAGAAAAGCCAAAAATATCAGTTATGATAATAATCTCCAGCTCGTAGGATATCAGGTAATTTTCACTTTCCACATACACTGTTTTGTACTGTTTGGAATTTTTCTAAGGACCATATATCATCTACACATAATCAGAAAATGCAGTAAAGCTATTTTTGTGTTTTTTAAAAAATTAACCACATCCCCAGGACCTCCCTGTACATTGTTTGCAATTTCCTATAAGTCTATCATTATTACAAAATAAAAAGATTTTAAAATTGAACTACCAATATTCATATCTTGATAGAGAAAAATAATAATAACTGTGTTCAATACATTGAGCTTTTTTTAAAAATAAGCCTTTTGATTTCCTAACTAATGGTCATCAAATATTCATTCCCATTCCATTTAGGTTAAAAAATTCAAGAGCTTCTAATATAAAGTCATGATCTGAGGAGCACTGGCATTTTAATCTTTTTAAAATGGCACAGGCAAAAGAAGGGGCAAAGGGTACAGCTCCCTGGGTCCATGACAAAATATTTCTCTACTGATCAATCCAAGAAATGAACTCCCCAGCACTCCCCAGACACCCACTGCATCAGTACAAATCCCCACTAAGGGAATGGGAATCAAGGTACCCCTAACCGTTGCAACACAGCATCCCTTTCTAAACCACAGCACCATTTTTTTTTACCTAAAATCTGTCACACCCCTGGAGCATTGCCCACTCCATTTATTTTCCATACAGACTTCACAGAAGAAAAACAGCCCTATACAATTCTTTTTTTAAAAATATACTTAATAACAAATAATAATTTTGGAAGGGGTAAGCAAGCCCCTTCTTGAAGACCTCTGTAATAGCTGCAGGCTTCACAGCAAGGCATGAGTCCTGCTGCTCCAGTTACACTAACTACAGGCAGCTGCTCTAAAATGTGAACAAAGGCAGATATGCTGCAGGTAAAGACAGGTCTACAGCAGTCAGGGCTTGACGGCTTGAAGGGCAGAAAGGAAAGTGCAGAAAAGCCTGGCAGCTGCTGCAGCCACCACAAACGACAGGATTATTTTATCAAAGGTGGGGGAGCACAAAAGTTCTTGAAAGTAATCAGAGACAGCACTGCACAAAATTCAGGTTTTGGGCTCCCACTGCCCCAAAGCTGTCATGGCTAAGTGAGGCAATCTGTTCAAGAGTGATGATGGAATAGAGACAGGTAGCTGTTGGGTAGCAATCTCTTCCTTCAATTTGAGTCTCCAAGTGACACACATCTTCAAGTGCTGACTGCCAAAACCAAGCTGAACAACGATCTTTCAAATATGAGCCAATGCATTTAGATGCTGCAGACCTTGTTTCTTCCATTGCTGTCTTAGCAAGTCCTAAGTAATCTTCTCCCTGCTGCTCTCTCTGGACTCCCCCCATGCATTCCAGTTACCAGTTATAAAGATTCCCTTTCTAATCACTTCCTGTTCCCAAACATCCCATGTCCTCCCTGATGCCCCAATCCGAAGTCTGGACTCGGTGCCACTTCACCATGTCCCCAGAGGCCCTGCATTATAGCACTTACCAAACTAAAGCATGTCAACCATGGTGTCCCAGCATTGCCTTAGAAGGATCACTGCCACCCCCTTCCCCTCTTCTCTACAGAAGCTATCTCAAAAAGCACAGGCTATGGGGAGTCAGGAGCTGGAGGAGTAATATCATTATTGGGGCAGGCAAAAGCTTGGCTGAGTGGGGAGCCCACCCCCTCCAACCTCCCAGTTGGTCTGTTACAACCTGAGGAAAATACCTCCTCCCAGTGTTGGTGCTTTATAAGAGTCTAAAGGTGAACCCCGGAGCTGCAGGAGCCATTTGGGGGAATGGCAGCAAAGCAAAAGGACCAGAGTAGTTTGGGGATGCCTGAGGCTCACCTCCTTTCTTTTTTTAAACTCCCTCAGAGGTACAGGACCTGTGGCCTGGGCTTTAGCCCTCGTCCAGTACAAATTCCCAGGCAGAGAAGTTGGCATCCCTGGTAAAAGGAGTTCTCAAACCAAAATAACTAGATAAGTACCACTACTATGAGAAGGGCAGTGCACTGAATTATACGACATGAAGCAGAATTATTGGGACAGACCAAAAAATTTAAGTAACATAATAAATATCCTCCAATGGATAAAGGAAGAGATTACTAATACAAACTGAAAGAAAACATTAAGAAGAAAAATACAAAAGTTGGAATAAGGAACACAATAGATGGGGTAAATAGCATAATGGATACAAAAACAAACAAACAACAACAACAAACACACATAGAGCAATGCAAAGGAAGCTCAGAGAGAGGAATGCTTCCAGAAAGAAGCAGAAAAGAATTCAAGTAGAGAGTAGAGAGACATAGAAAATAGAAGCAGAGTTTCCAAAATCTGGATAATAGGGAACAAGGAAGAAGAGGGAAAAGAAAAACAAACATAAAAGAAAAGGAAATATTTTAACAAAATTGATAATTAATTCTCCAGAATTCAAAAGAGATGAAAGACCTCAGATAATAAGAGTTTATAAAGGACCAAACAGGATATATAAAGACCCACACCAACACATGCCATATTGAAACTTGAGAATATTAAGATTAAATACAAATTCTAAGATAATTTAGAGAGAAAGAGAAAGAAGAATGAGATTAACATCAATTTTCTTTTTTTTTGAGACAGGGTCTCACTCTGTCTCCCAGACTAGAGTGCAGTGGCGTGATCTCGGCTCACCACAACCTCCACCTCCCCACTTCAAGCGATTCTCCTGCCTCAGCCTCCCGAGTAGCTGGGATTACAGGCACACGCCACTACCGCCCAGCTAATTTTTGTATTTTTAATAGAGATGGGGTTTCACCATGTTGGCCAGGCTGGTCTTGAACTCCTGACCTCAGACGATCCACCAGCCTCAGCCTCCCAAAGTGCTGGGATTACAGGCATGAGCCACCAGCCTGGCCTAATATTTTTAAAATATAGAAGGAAAAGAACTTTGAACATAAATTTATCAAATGTGAGAGTATAATAACTATATTCTCAGGCATGCAAAGCCACTGAAGGTTTGCCACATAAAGACTCACTCTAAAGATATTCATCAGGGAAGTTCTCAAATAAAAAGATAAATCCTTTATAATAAGATATATGGGAAATAAGGCTAGTCAAATAACATACTAAAGTTTGTTGCCTAAAAAGGATAAAAAAGAAAGGATAAGAATTGCTAAAATTCCTTTTTTTTTTTTTTTTTTTTTTTATGGAGTCTGGTTCTGTCACCCAGGCTGGAGTGCAATGGCACAATCTTGGCTCACTGCAACCTCTGCCTCCCGGGTCCAAGTACTTCTCCTGCCTCAGCCTCCCAAGTAGCTGGGATTACAGGTACACACCACCACACCTGGCTAATTTTCGTATTTTTAATAGAGATGGGGTTTCGCCATGTTGGTCAGGCTGGTCTTGAACTCCTGGCCTCAAGGGATCCATCCTCCTCGGCCTCTCAAAGTGCTAGGATTACAAGCGTGAGCCACCGTGCCCGGCCAAAAAATTCCAGAATTAAAATCTTAGACAACAGCAACACAATTGGGATCAGGGCTGGGAAGAAAGGAAGAGACCCAAGGTACACGTAAACTGCTAATGTGTTTGTATTATAACAGAATAAATACAGACTTTAATTCATTTAACAAATTAATAAGCATAAACACAAATTTGGGTCTTAAGAGTAACTACAATAACAACAAAAATATAATTTGTTTTAAATGAGAAAAAATATCTATTAGAAAGCAGGAAATGAGAAGAAATTTAAAATGAAGTATAGTAAGGAGAAAAATATTAAATAAGATATTAGAAATAAGTTCTAATAAAACAATCATTTCAATAAGTATAAATGGATTAAAGTTGCCAATTAAAAGACTCTCCAATTAGATATAAGAGAGAAATAAATACAAAAAGAGAGAGGGCGAGAAAAAGAGAGAGAGAATGAAGAAAGATATCCTAAGCAAATATGAACCAAAAGAAGGCTGGAGAATCTATCTCAATATCTGATAACACAGAATTCAAGTTTTTTAAAAAATAGGAAGAGACATCAATGGAGGATACATACTAGAAAAATAAACAAGAGTAAAAGATGTGAACTTTTATATGTACCTAACAATGTAACCTAAAATATATAAATACTCTAACATAAAGCAAGAACAGACAGAATGACAGGAAAGAGACAAATCAACAGATACACTTGAATATTTTAACATGCTCCTTTCAGACAAAAAAATAAGCAGAAATACAGAAGGTCTAAATAATACACTAAACGTGTTTAAGCAAGTAGATCTATAGAGAGCTCTCTATATCCAAACAGAGAATATGTAATTATTTTCAACATTTTAAAAAAGTAACTACAAACCAGGCTAAAGCTTCAGTGAATTCCAAGGAATCAATATCACAGAGACTATCTTCTCTGACCATCAAATTAAAAATGATAACAAAAATCAAAGCTTAAAATAGTTCCATATGGCTAGAACTTGGTTAAAAATAAAAACATAAGTGAACTTTTAAAAAAAATACATAGAATTGAATGACTATGAAAACACAGCGTGTTGACTTTGTGAGACACAGCTCAAGCATTACTCAGAGAGAAATATATACCTTTAAGTACACTCCTCTTCCTTATTTACTGCTAAAATGAACAAGTGTTTCCCTGAAAGTCACACAAACAGAACATGGAGTGCTGTGGAAAAGCTCTCACCACATACACAAATATCTACCTCGTGGCCTACTGGGCCTTCTGCCCCCAAGATTCATGAGGGACAAAATACGATGCTGTCAATAAACTAAAACCTAAAGTAAAAAACCACATCAGGCAGTGGCACACCCATCTTTGTCAAGGCTCAGTAGGCCTGTCCAAACTATTAACCAAAGCATACTTTTTTTTTTTTTTTTGAGATGGAGTCTTGCTCTGTCACCCAGACTGGAGTACAGTGGTGCAATCTCGGCTCACTGTAACCTCTGCTTCCCCGGTTCAAGTGATTCTCCTGCCTCAGCCTCCCAGGTAGCTGGGATTACAGGCGTCTGCCACTAGCCCAGCCAATTTGTGTATTTTTAGTAGAGACAGGGTTTCACCATGTTGGCCAGGCTGGCCTCAGACTCCTGACCTCAAGTGATCCGCCTGCCTTGGCCTCCCAAAGTGCTGGGATTAAAGGCGTGAACCACCGTGCCCAGCCCAAAGAATACTCTGTTAAAGAAAAATATCATGGCGCTGAATCTCTCAAAAGTTTAGACCTTTTTGATCCATCATTATCAACAGACCCTGGAATCAAGTATTTTATTTCCCTCTTACTAAGGATTAGGCACTGCTAGTTTCAGCTCCCATCCCCTCTGGCATCCACTGTGTGAGACGAAATATTC
The DNA here is from genome assembly GCF_000001405.40 of Homo sapiens. Taxonomy (NCBI): domain Eukaryota; kingdom Metazoa; phylum Chordata; class Mammalia; order Primates; family Hominidae; genus Homo; species Homo sapiens. The sequence continues at coordinate 99,342,828 of NC_000006.12, forward strand.
CCCCCTTTAGTTAAATACTCATCCCCTGATACTGATGTCATAAAAAGAAAACATATTTGCACACAAGTACCTGATACGGTAAGTCAGCCATCCTTAAATAAGTTTCCATCTTTAAACAGAAAGGAGATAAACTTGGAACACCATTGTTAGGTCTTGCAAACTGATGCAAAATAATAGCATCTTTAGAGTCAATCTCTTGCTGTTTCCTGTCAAAACCAAAACAGAAATAAAGTACAATCCACATGTTATCCACATTCGGTTCCCTTATTTCTTGAGAGGACCCTGCAGGGTTGTAGCTCCTCAATGAACAAGCAGATCTGTTTGTCACAGGGGCTTACATCACCCAGCACCCAGTTTGTCGAAGGGGCTTACCTCACCCAGCACTCATGGAAGCTTAGTCAAAACTCAAGAGAACCTTACAAACTCCCATGATATTACCATGACCCCACTGGCTCAGCAAAGTAACTACATAACAACCTCCTTCTGTTACCTATGGCCTCCGGGCAGCAAGAACATTTTCTAGTACTGGTCCACCTATTCTCCAGCCGGCTGTATTTACCTGCTAGGACAAGCTGGATGGATAAAAATGATATTCTGTGCTTGCTGTGTGTCACACATTGTTCTGAGGGTCTCATGGGTCTTATCTCCTTTAATCTTCATAATAACCTTATGAAGTAGGTACTACTGTTATCCACGTTTTATAGATGAGGAAATTAAGGCACAGAGGATTAACTTGCCCAAAGTCACATTGCTAGTTATGGCAGAATGGGCACTCAACCAAGAAGTCAGAGCCCATGGTTTTGGCCATTAGACTATACCATGAAACAGTCTATTCATCCATAAGACCCAGGAATAACAGTGCAGATTTGCTCTGCTATGACCCAAGTCTGTAGGGAATCTGAGACTGAAATTCTGGTCCCTCTTCCCAACTGCCCATGCCCTCACCTAACCCTTCTTTCACCTGTAATGCCATGGAACCTGCCTTCTGGATGCTCTCTCTCTAGCTCTGTCTTCCTTATTTTCTGCCTTCCCAGTATCCCCACTTTTACCACACAGCATGTATTTCAGTACCCCTGCTTTTCCCCTTTCTCCTGTCTCAGCCACACATCCATCTTTTCCTTTGGCTACTCTTTTGGGTGAGAAGGACTTCCCTGCATACAGCTTTTCAATAACCACTACATAATGGAATGAATGCTGGATTCCAAGTCTGGACAACTGGTGTCAAATCCAAGCCCTGCTTCCTACTGGCCACGTTAGCCTAGATCTCTCCACCATCTTCACCTGAAGAGTGAGGACAGTACCAATTCTGTATGGTTTATCATGAGGATTACATAAGGTAATACTGTAACTATTTAGTAAACTATCAAGCATTAAGTAATAGTGGAATTTATCCCCATCCAAAGAGATATGGTCTCATCCCTGCAAGCTCATCATTCCACACAGCCCCACTCATACCCCACTCCTCGGGACCCTTTTGCAATTTCCATCTTCATTTGACCCAGCTGATTTCTAGTCAGATAAACTTCACTCTTCCTTCCCCTTGGCCCTGCCTGAGCCTCTGGTTCCCTCGCATTGTTCCCAGTACAACACCACACCCCCTTCTTTCTACCTAAGCAAGAACAAGCTCTTTGTATCTTCATCACATGGATGCCCACTTCCTGCAGATCCCCATTTAGTAAAACAAACTCTCTTGAAAAGTTTACCACCCAAGGGCCCACTCAACTTCACAGTACAGAATGACTCATTTTGAAAATATGTCAAGTAAAAAAAAAAAATTGCTGCTTTCTGGCAATATTAACTATAAAAGAAATGTTTTCATTTAAATGGAATGTTCGAGAAGTCAGGTATTAAAATCAAGAACTCATTTAGACAATGTTCCAAGACAGCACAAACTATAGATCTGACAATTAACTGATTTTGTCCAGTCAAATAATTCCCATCACAAAGTGGTATTTTCATGTAAATTAACAGACACAAATTTCAGAACCGACAGGAGAGGAGACAAACAAAAAATCCCTGCTCCATCAGCCAGAACGATCTAATTCTAATTGTTAATTTGGGCCATGTCATGGTAAGAATGGAGGCTAATTATCTACCAAGCATATGCTAATGACTTTATATATATTATATATGTTAACTTATTTAATTCTGACAATGACACTTTAGAATGGGTACTGTTACAGTTTAAATTTGGGATATCATATTATACTATTTTATAGTAGATAAGAAAATTGAAGCTCAAAGACGTTAAATAACTTGCCTAAGGAACATCAATTTAAGATTGACTCTGAAATAACTCGTTTCCATGCTCTTAAGCACTTCAAGGTCACCAAAATGGGCAATTCCTCGGTTAATCGTATTAAAACTGCCAGTTTGACTTAGACCACTGAAGCCTGAAACTTTCTGATAAAAGTCACAGCTAATGATGGCCAAGTTTTATTGAATTTTCACCTTGACAAACTCTGTTCTAAGCATGTCACGTGTTATCTCATTTAATCAATGCTATGAGAAAAGCTACTACTACTATTACCATTTTACAGATGAGAAAACTGAGTCATCAAGAGCTTACTGTCATATCCAAGGTTATGTGGTTGGTTACAGACAGAGTCTGAATTTGAACGCAGACAGTCTGGCACCAGAGCCCTCCCTCCAACATGTCAGAAACTCCTCTCTAATTTAGGATCAGAGGTTTGGGTAGGTTGTTCCCTGTACAGCTATATTTTATAAAGTGATCTTACCATAAGGTTTATATAAGAGGACAGCCATAGAGCATTAACTAGCTAGTTTACTACTATTCCCGGGGCTAACGATACCACAGATGAACATGCCTCTGTATACAGCTGATGATTTGTTAGTTTGCAGAGATCAGATGTTGATTCGCCAACTAAATGCTCTAGAAGAGGCTGAGCCCGTGTGTCAAAAGTGCAAATAAGCACTGGTAATGAAGTTAGTACTTAGTCATTCAATTTACAAACAAAAATTTCCAAAGCCTGATTGAATTTAAGATAGCTGCCAAGCTATCTCCACTCAGGGAAAACAAAGTAGTGTGTTGGAACAATATTTATTTTAAAATATGGTGCTAAAAAACATGGATAAAACCCCAAAAACCTACTTCAGTTATATTCATTAATTAAACTTCCTAAGTAATTCTCACCTGTCAACTTTACTCTTCCACTCTAGAGACACAGTCATAGATTAAGGTTATGTCTATGCAGCAGAAAATCCAAGTAGGCTGGGGAAGAGTTTGCAATAGCCAGAAACTCAGGGTAGTCATTTTAAGGTGTATTTTCTATCTTACATATTTCAGATTTTGTTTTGTTTTCTGCCTAAATTATAAAGACTATTGAAACCTAGATTTCACCTTAAGTGGAGGTAGTTATCATGTAACCTCTAAAGCCTTGGTCTTTGACCTTCCTGCCTGGTTTTTTTCCCTTTGCCCCTCCACTCCTCTTCCCCTAGACGCTGCAAGAAAGGCACCTGATACAGGTCTGTCTTCCCTGAGCAATGCTTCAGTTCTCCACATTTCTCTTCCTTCCTCTTCCTCCAACAAAACGGATTTCAAAGTAGGTACTTTTTTTGAGACGGAGTCTCGCTCTGTCGCCAGGCTGGAGTGCAGTGGCACCATCTCGGCTCACTGCAACCTCCGCCTCCTGGGTTCAAGCGATTCTCCTGCCTCAGCTCCCCGAGTAGCTATAGGACTACAGGCGCGTGCCACCACGCCAGGCTAATTTTTGTGGGGTTTTTTTGTTTGTTTTTTAGTAGACGGGGTTTCACAATGTTGGCCAGATGGTCTCGATCTCTTGACCTCGTGATCCGCCCGCGTCAGCCTCCCAAAGTGCTGGGATTACAGGCGTAAGCTGCCGCGCGCCGGGCCAAAGTAGGTACTTTCTAAGAGGCAGTGGTTAAAAACTGCAGGCTCTGATTTGAATCTAGATCCTACTACTCTTACTGTGTGATCTTGGGCAAGCTGCTTAACCTCCCTGAGCTGCAATTTCCTTATCTATGAAATGAACAAACAACAGTTGTGAGGAATAAATGCAGTCACACATGCAAAGCCCATCCTACTAAGTATTCAGAAATAGCCCTTTTTTATTGTTTGCATTACTTCAGAGCTTTCTAATTCAACTCAAACATTTGTCCAGAAACAAAACTGGCCAAGTATGGTGGCTCACACCTATAAACCCAACACTTTGGGAGGCCAAGGAGGGAGGATTTCTTGAGGCCAGGAGTTTGAGACAAGCCTGGGCAACATAGTGAGACCCCATCTCCACAAAAAAGTTAAAAAAAAAATTAGCCAAGTGCAATGGTTCATGCCTGTAATCCCAGCAACTCAGCAGACTGAGGCCAGAGGATCGCTTGATCCCAGGAGTTCAAGAGCAGCCTGGCCAACACGGTGAAACCCTATCTCTACTAAAAATACAAAAATTATCCAGACGCGGTGGTGCACGCCTGTAATCCCAGCTACTCAGGAGGCTGAGCCAGGAGAATCATTTGAACCAGGGAGGTGGAGGTTGCAATGAGCTGAGATCGAGCCACTGCACTCCAACATGGGCGACAAAGCGAGACTCAGTCTCAAAAGAAAAAAAAAAAAAAAGGAAGAAAAAGTGTGAATCAACCTAGGATTAAACTCCTTAGTCCAAATAAGCATCCAGTGCTGAGGTATATAGTCCCCTAAATGAGTTAGTAGCTATCTGTGGGCAGAGAGCTCTCCAGTCTCCAGTGACAACACCTGCCAGGGCAGGGCCTACTCCGGAGTGGCAGCTGAGCTCCACACTGTTTCTGCAAGGTCATTTAAGCTTTGTTTTAAACTTGGTCCTGTGAAGCCTTCACTCCCTCCACTGCTGAGAAGCCTCATGGTTTGGGATCTCCTCAAAGGCTTTAGACTAGAATACAACTGAGAAACAACTGGGTTACCATTTAAATTACTGCCCAAATGTTTTAGTTCTTTAGGTAGCTTGAAATCTAACTTGAAATACAGTTCTAAAACTAGCACAATTAACAAATAATCTAGAGAGATAATTCTCTTTAAATTTTTTTGTTTGGTTCAGCTAGATTCAAGGCAATGTGTTGAGAGAATTAAATGTGCAACAAGCTTAAAATAAACTTCCTCAAATATGGCTAAATAATATGAAAACCAATACATTTCTCCAAACCTAAATGATTTCCCACCCTTTCAGAGATGGGAACTATTCAAAATATGTACGTTAGGCCAAATGCCTACATTAGGCCATCACAATAATCTCCTGGGATCCCTGCAGGCTAGTACAGGTCACCTATCACTGTCTTTGTTTATAACCTATTGTGTAGGATTCCTCCACTGGAATAAGGCAGTGTGGACACATTTCTCTCACTTTAGAAAATACTGGCAAAGAGACATTCTGAGCTATTGAAAACTGGGCTTCTGGTAATCTTCCAGTGACGGAAGGCTCAAATGCATGGAAATTTTAACCATTAATTGATGTATCAATTAGCCAAACGACTGTCTCAGTGCCCTGTGGTATTACTCTACCCAAACAAAAATCTCGTCCCGGCTGGATGTACCAACAGCAGGGGCCTCCATTTTCTGGTATTTCCAACTCAATCTTGTAAACATTCTGCGGCAGCGGATGCAACTGTTTACGGCACTGGGCGACTCCGTGTTGTGCCCAACACACCCATGTGCTAGCCTGTCCTACTGCTCACACAACAATGACATCTAAGCCTGAAGATGGTGCTTGGCGTTCAATACCAGATAAGCAGAGAACCAGGTTAAGGCTGCATCAAAGCTGCCCACCACTACACTTGGTCATGCATCTTTAACAGGGACCCGCAGGTTTCTGGAGCTTTTGCAATTTTTCAGTCTTTTGATGTTGACATTTAGGGAAGAACTAACCTTTAGGTAAAAGATAAGGTTAGCAGTTAATATTCCAGCATTATTACTTATAAACAAGGCATTTCATAAAAGTGTAACCTATTTCTGCAGGGCCCAATTCTATTGTTGCAAACACACTGCACTTAGATCCTCCTAAGGCCATTTCTTAATAGATAACGACAAGTGACCCAGAGCATTTTGGGAGACAAATGTTTTTCCCTCCCAGCACCGGTTTAATTCTCCTTTCAACTCTAAACTGCCCCTCACGGCCAGGTGACCACAAATGCCTTTAGGGAAAGGTAATTGCAGGGCGCTTGGGCATCTGGGCAGCTTGACCGAGGGGCTGGCACGGGCCCCTCTCGCGCCAGCCCTGCCCTAGCCAGGTGCCCCTCTCTGCGCCCCTGTGCGGGGCCCTCTCTCCGGCTCACCTAATGACCAGGAGTTCGTGGAGCAGATACGCAGCTGCGGCCAGCAAAGCTCCCCCGGTCAAGTAAAGGGTTTTCTTCCACCAGGGATCGGAGCCCAGCCCTGCCATGATCCCACCGTAATCCTGCAAAGGGAAAGCGATGATGTCCCCATAAAAGGAGAAGGGCTCCTCGGACCCGGCCCACCAGCCGAAGAAGGAGATGCTCTGGTTCCAGCTCAGATCCACCACGCACGGCCTGGACGAAGCAAAGCCAACCCCCCAGTGCATGCTGCGCGGCTGGCTCCGGGCGCCCCTCCCAGGGCCCGCGCCGCCCGCATGGGAAGGGGCCGGCGCGGCCCGGCGCGGGCTCAGAGGCGCGCGGAGGGCGCGGGCGGCGCGGGCGGCGGCGACTGAGGAGGCGGCGGCGACTGAGGAGGCGGCGGCAGAGGAGGAGGAGGAGGAAGGGCACTGGCCGCGGACGGCGGGCCTGGCCGGCGGGGCCCCAGAGCCCTGGGCGGCAGCAGCGGCCGCCGGCTCCCCCCGCAGCTGCCTCTCCGCCCCGCTCTTTGTGTCGGCGCCTGGAGAAGGCCGCGTGATGTCATTGCTCCCCGGGGCAGGGAAACAGAGGCGGGATAAAGTCACCTACCCCGCGCCCTGCCCCCTCCCCGCATCTCCGCGGTCCGGCCGCCTCCGCCGGGGCCGGATCTGCAGGGCTGAGGCGCGCCGGGCAGGCTCCGCGCCTCCGGGCGGCACGCCCAAAAACCGCTCGCCGCGCGCGGGCAAGGGCGGCGGAGGTGCCTGGAAATGCGGCCCCACCGCGAGGAAGCTGCAGTCGGGGCCCGGATCCCGGTCCTCCCCTACCCCGGCCGGCCCTCCGCCTGCGCTCCAGCCCCTCCCGCGGGCCCCAGAGTAGGGAACGCGCAGGACTCACCTGGGGCGGCGCGGAGCTGCGGGCAGGAGACGCCACCAGGCGGGGGCTGGGAGCGTGGGCCAGGATTAAAGTCGGGAATCAGATTGTTCTGGCCATCAGGAAAGCGCTGCGTATTTGCATAATGTATAAAAACACTCTTATTACATTACACAATTACCTCGGGCTTGACCAGGTGTTCGCAGAGACGAGATGTCTGGTTTGGCAAATAACAAAATACTCTACCTAGAGAGATTTCTCTGACAAACCCAGTTCAAGTCTTTCCTCTTTGAAGTCACTATCAGGGAACTCGCTGATACAGGGTTTCGGTTGGGGGACGGGGGTCCCTCTTTTGTTTTAGAAAATCTGTCTAACAACTGTGTGTGTGTTCAGTGTATTTTTTTCCTTTAACTTCATTTATTAAAGTTCATAAGTACAAAGAATAGAAGCTTGTAATATATGCACAGATTTTAACAAGAGCATGGATAGTTTTAAATTGTTTGGAAGAACTGAAAAAGGATTCGGGCCGTGGAGGTTCATCACTCTCAAGGTGGAAGGATGGGTAAAAGAAACCTCCAGGCTCTTGCCTATGGAGCAGAGATTGAGGCGCAAAAGGACTCCCCCTTTTTTTCCTCTCCTGACACACCCGCCCCTTAGAACAGGCAAGGAGTGTGGTCGTCTTGTTAATAAATAATAAATATGGACGTGTCGCCTCAACGAGACGGGGGGAGGGGCTAGTCAGCTGATGCCTAGGCACCAGCATGTGAGACTCCCCAAACACTCCTGGGAAAATGTGACCTCCCAGGAAGAAGTAATGTGTGTGGTTCTAAGTGAGGCTCCCATAAGTAGGTTGCAAGGAGTGAAACCCAACGGCCTCCTGGGGTGACTGAGGTGGTCACCAGCCGGTCTTTCAAGGAGAGAGGCCAGAAGGCTGCCTGGCCTTGTCGGCAAGAAGCAGAGTAGTTAAGTCTGGGACCAAAGCTGCAGTGCTCTGGAAGAGGGAACAAGGAGGGCTGGCACCAGGGATTCTCCATGCTCCTTCTGTGCCCTTCCCACAGAGCACTCAGTCTTTGCTCTCAGTGAACACTGAGCCAATATTTAAAGAATATAAGTTTGATATTTGGGATCACATTATTTGCATATCTAGGTCTAGACATGGGGATGGGCATAAATTACCTTAAGTGGAAGAATATGGAAGGCAAAAGGGAGAGTCAATCCTGACAAACCTTATGCCCAAAACAAGTTAGAACCCAGAGGAAGTGTAGTATTTTTATCCCAGAAAGCCACTGACTACAATTCACTCTCACTCATAGTGACCTGCCCCACCCACTCATGCAGGCCAGGGGCCCACTGCTGCTTCCTGGTAGTGTCAGACAACTGTTGAGCATCATCTGGTCTCTGGTTCAAATATGGTTTACATTTTTAGAGACACTGCAGTGAACATCTTTAAGAAGCAGATGTGGGCTGGGCACAGGTGGCTCACACATGTAATCCCAACACTTTGGGAGGCCAAGGTGGGTGGATCACCTAAGGTCACGAGTTCGAGATCAGCCTGGCCAACATGGCGAAACCCCGTCTCTACTGAAAATACAAAAAATTAGCCGGGAGTGGTGACGAGCACCTGTAATTCCAGCTACTCGGAAGGCTAAGGCAGGAGAATTGCTTGAACCCAGGAGGCGGAGGTCTCAGTGAGGAGAGATTGTGCCATTGCACCCCAGCCTGGGTAACAAGAGCGAGACACCGTCTCAATAAAAATAAAAATAAAAATAAAATAAAATTCCACAAGAGAAACTAAAATGTCATCTTAATCTGATGCATCTTAAATTTTAACTTTTAGATCCATGGCATAGAAGAGAAAAGATGATTATTGTTAGGGCTGTATAAGATGAAAAGAGGAAGAGTAGACTGAGGAGACAACAAATCTGAGTTGGACAAATATTTGGTATCAGAATGTCAGAACAGGCCGGGCATGGTGGGGTGGCTCATGCCTGTAATCCCAGCACTTTGGGAGGTGGGCAGATCACTTGAGGTCAAGAGTTTGAGACCAGCCTGGCCAACATGGTGAAACTGTGTCTCTACTAAAAAAAAAATACAAAAATTAGCTAGGCATGGTGTCGAGCACCTGTAACCCCAGCTACCTGGGAGTCTGAGGCAGGAGAATCACTTGAACCTGGGAAGCAGAGGTCGCAGTGAGCTGAGATCGCGCCACTGCACTCTAGCCTGGGTGACAGAGTGAGACTCCATCTGAAATAAAAAAGAAGAACCTCAGAACAAACCTTTGGGGAGCAAGGAAAGCAGCTCTAGCTGTAAAGGCACCGACTGATGCAATCCTCAGCCAAATCTTCATCCAAAGACAGACTGAGTTTCAGAGGGAAAAGCTGCTCCACAAAGGGGTGCAAGCCAGCTGTAGAAAGATGGGAGACTCAGGCTCAGGGGCAAGGGACTCAGCCCCAGAGGAGTGGTGGTGGTGGGATAAACTCAGTAGAAAGGAACCAAACACAGCTTGGTTAACAAGAGTTGCTAAGGAGGCTGATTCTGCAAAGAATGGCTCCTCAGAATCCCTAGTGTAGAGCCAAGTCACAGGCTGAAGCCACAGCAGCTATGCAGGGCCTCCCTACTGAGGCTGAAGGTGCAGGAGCTGAGCATGTCTGCACCCCAGCTCTCCTCCTGAGGCTCCTATAGTTAGTGAGAAAATTTGAAGACTCTGGGCACTAGGCTAGGCATCTCTACTTCACCCCTTCTACCACCACCACCACTAATTTTGACAGCTTTGGTGCCGTACGCATGGACATTAGCTCCAAACTAGAGGCAATTTCTTTTTCTTTTTCAAGGACTTTTTGTTAACTAACTTTAATTGAGTTGTTATAAGACAAGAAAAAAGAAGGAACTAATATTGATTGAACACCTGTTTGTGTTGTATAGTGATTTTTTTTCCAGTAACAAGCTATGTTAGATAAGTATTGTCATTTCAATTTTACAACTGAAAGAAACTAAGGCCCAGAGGGGACAATTAACAAGTTCAATTCCCAGAGTGAGGTGATGATGGATCCAAGCATGTCTTACACCAGTGGCCCTGTGGGCGCTCCACCACCTCCATCAGCGGTGTCCAATCTTTTGGCTTCCCTGGGCCACATTAGAAGAACTGTCTTGGGCCACACCTAAACTACGCTAAGGACGGCTGATGAGCTTTAAAAAAAATCGCAAAAAATTCATAATGTTTTAAGAAGGTTTACAAATTTGTGTTGGGCCACATTCAAAGTCGTCCTGGGCCGCCAGGTTGGACAAGGTTTTGACCTACAAGGGTCTCACACCAAGAACAGTGAGTGCTGGAGCGCTGTCCATGGTATTCTTGCTTTACACTATTAGTCTGGGGCTCAGTTTTCAACTGTCTCAACTGAATGACTACAAAGCATCCAATGCCTGCAGGTTATACTGTCACCTGAAAAAGGTAGCTTCAGATAATTTATTATGCAGATATCGGCGTGCCCTGTGTCATGTGGGTCTACAGCCTCGCCAAGACAATTGGGTAAGGACAACTAAATCAGTGTTTCCCAAACCTTAAAGTACATATGTGTCACCTGGGGCTCTGTCATGACGATCAAACAAGAGACAATTAGATCAGAGGTAATTGAGAAGGTGGGTGGTGAGAAAAGTTTAGGATGTTTTGAGTGTGGGCCTCTCAAACATTACCGTGTATATGAGGATATTGTTAAAATGCAAAATTTGACTCAGTAGTTCTGGGGTGGGGCCTGAGAGTCTGCATTTCTAACAAGCTTCCAGGTGATACCAGACCACAGTTTGTGTAACAATTGTTTATACCACTGGCTTATGAGGAAGATCAAGAACTCTGCCCACCAGGTGTACCCCATGTTAGATGGTTTCTAATCAACCCAATCAAGTCACCACCTTTTATTAGTTTGAACATCATACATTGCAGATAAGTTTGGGGCAGTAGTAGAATGAGAAATAGGAAGAAAATAAATCAAGACTCTAGAAGAACAATTAGAACAGAAAGTAATGTGTATTTCTTCTGAGAGACTGACCTGATGCCCAAGTGCTGGGAGCTGAGGGAGGAAGTCATGGGGAAGGAGAGATGTAAGGGAAGGGGACAGGAGATAAGAGAGAAGACAGAGAATAGGCAATTTATGATGTCTCTGTTTCACTACCTGGGTGATTAATAATATCATGGAACATTTTTCAGGCACCAATACAAACAGCATAAACAAATGAACAAAATAATTTACAAATTTAATTTATCCTAATCATCTTTTATCAGAATGATATTACACTTGATGTTTTAAAATCAAGTTTAAGAGATTTAAAGCCTTGCTCCTACAGTAATAAGTGGATGTGATGTGGCACTATTGCTGGTTTTTACATAGTAACATTTACTATGCTATTGCATTAAAATATCTCTATGTTATTCAAATGTAGGTAATTTAATTGATAATATTTCTCTGAATTTTGTTGTAAACTTCTGCTTTCTTGGCTTGATTTATGGAGAAGACATCTCACACCAAGCTACCCACCTGGCATAGCAGAATTCTTTTTTCTTTTTTTTTTTTGAAACAGAGTCTAGCTCTTTTGCCCAGGCTGGAGTGCAGTGGGGCGATCTCGGCTCACTGCAGCCTCTGCCTCCCGAGTTCAAGCGATCCTCCTGCCTCAGCCTCTCAAGTAACTGGGATTACAGGCGCCTGCCACCATACCCAGCTAATTTTTGTATTTTTAGTAGAGACGGTGTTTCACTGTGTTGGCCAGGCTGGTCTCGAACTCCTGACCTCGTGATCTGCCTGCCTCAACCTCCCAAAGTGCTGGGATTACAAGCATGAGCCACTGCACCCAGCCCATAGGAGAATTCTGAATCCTAACTAACATTATAGCTGGAAGCCAGTCTCTCACCTCTCACCATAAGGTGCTTTGCCTATATACTTTCTGATCCACTGGACTTGAGCATTTTATAAACCATTATGCAACTCTCAGAAAGCATGTCCTGTAAGATTAACTTGATGCTGAGAAAAGATATGCAAATAATAACCAGGCTCAGATGAGTGAGAGGCAATTGAGAAGGTGAATCGTGAGAAGTGTAGAACATTTTGAGTTTGAACAGTGTATTAGTTTGCTAGGGCAAAGAACAGAACCCTAAGAACATCATATTTAGAGAATGGGCAAAGAAAGAGGGAAACTGAGAAGGAGCAACAAGTGGGAGGGTGTCAGAGCCACAGAAGGGAATAGGGAGTTTCGAGAAATTTAGGGTTAGGATCAATAGTGTCACATGCTCCCAAAAAGTCAAGTAAAATAAAGTTAGCCAGTAGGGCAGACATTACTGACCTTCGTGGGTGAGTGAGTGCATTTAAGTGTTGCGGAGGCAGAAACTAGCTTGAAAAAATGTTACTGTCAATAGTGTTCAAAGTGTCTGTTTCCTTGTCCTACCCTTACCGTACATGATATTGTTAAATGTTTTGATCCTCCCTAATTTGAAAAAGCAGTGTCTCCTTGTAGTTTTAAATTTGTGCTTCTCTTATTATGTGTAAGGTTGAATGCATTTTTTGGAAAGATGTATTTCTATTTTTTGTGAACTGCTCATTTGTTTTGTCTTAAGCGTCAAGTCTCACTATGTTGCCCAGGCTAGACTCAAACTCCTCAAGTGATCCCTCCATCTCAGTCTCCTGAATAGCTGAAATTATATGTGCACACCTGGTCCTGAACTATTCATTTTTCACTTGGCATTATTTATATATGTATTTATTTATATGAGCTCTTAATAGAGAAAAATAACTCTTGGTCTATAAATCAAAGTGATGCAAATATTTTCCCCAGCTTGTTATCTTTCCATTTTTTCTTTTTATTTTACATATTTATTATTTTTGAGACAAGACGCTCTGTCACCCAGGCTGGAATGCAGTGGCATGATTACGGCTCACTGCAGCCTCAACCTCCTGGGCTTAGGTAACTTCACATAATTCCCTGAATTATCAAACGATCCTCCCACCTCAACCACCCCAAGTGGCTGGGACTATAGGCAGGCATCACCACGGCCACCTAATTTTTTTTTTTTTTTTTTGTATTTTTTGTGGAGGTAGGATCTCACCATGTTGCCCAGGCTGGTCTTGAACTCCTGGACTCAAGCGTTTCACCTGCCTCAGCCTCCCAGCGTGCTGGGATTACAGGCATGAGCCACTGCCCCAGTCTCTTTCCATTTTTTCTTCTATGGCTTCTTGATTTTCTATTATAGTTTTAGAGTGGTCTCATCCTCTGAATGGGATGCTCAAATCTATTATTTCAATGTTCCGGGGTGACCTCAAATGCTGGGGTGTATTAAAGAAAAAATTATTCTGATACTTGTTAAAGGCAGTAAAGAAAACCTTTTTCAAGGGACTACTTCAATGGGGCTTTGCAATAGGGGAGAAAGATTGAGCTTAACTCCAAATACAACAAGGAAAAGTGAGGATTTACAGCAAAGTGGCAGGGAGAGGGGAGAAGATGTCAGAGGATGGAGAATTACTATGAGAAGACATCAAGGCTAGAAGGCTAAACTGGCCAACAAGATTCCTGATGAAGACAGCCCTGGGTGATCAGATGCCACATGGGAAATGAGAAATTTGATCAGATACTGAAGGTGATCAAACATCAAGGATGGGAGAATCTGGCTAAACTGACTTAGCAGAATTCTCTCTAAAATTGGGCAATGCAAACATTGACACAGAAGTCCAAATGTTGAGGCTTAGTTGAGAAGAAGGCTTAGTGGAGCCTGACTAAAATTCGGTCAAGGAGAGAGTCTTTGTCAGTTGTGACCAGGAAGGTAGAAGCCTCTAGAGATAAGAGTCTGTTGCTGACAAGATAGGACACAGACCATCCACAAGGACAGAGGAGTTATTCATGAATATGGGAAGACTTAGGGAGAGTAGAAGAAAAAAGATGCTGTGATTGAGGGGTGTGACCAGAAGTGGGAGTTTGGAACAGAGGAGGAGTAGAGGATGGGAGAGCTAGACCTGAAACTTGGAGAAGCATGAGCTTTTACCCAAAAGTAATGGCAGTGAGTGAAGAGGACATAAAGCCCATCTCCAAAGTCTGAGGTTCATAGAAAATGTGGGACTTCCTCCGGGTGAAATCATGTCCTCATAGGACAGCAGGTTTCAGTTGAGGTAGGAAGTAAAGGGCACTACAAAGAGGACTTGAGAAGGTAGGGTAATTAGTATATCATGAAATGGGCCTTATAGGGGTTGTAGCAGAAAAGTATAGAAGATCAATGGGAGTTAGGCAAGAAACATTCAAGAAACACTCTTAAGGAGAGATTCTGGGAAAGAATCACTATGGGGTGTCTACATGTTGGGCAACGACTAGGGATAGCAGAGATCCTTATCAGGCTATAGGAATGGCACAACCATCTGGACTTGGTGGCTCCCTGGAACACCAATGACCTGCACTTGAACTGATTGTTCTCAGGAAAAGGTGTCATCTAAGGAGCACAGAGACAAACACCAAGCCTGTTTTAAAGTCAAGAAAGGAATGGAGATCTTGTGAGATATCAGTGAGTTCTACATCCATTGGTTCTGTTCCTCAATGAGAAACAAGGATTCAGATCTAGCTGAAGTGGGAACATCTCATGCCCATATTTACCTTGAAACTCTCTACTCCCATTCTTAGCTCTGCCACCACATCATCTTGAGAACATATTTTTTTTCTTTGGGTCCAACTGGTGCCTTTTATCTCCTAGACAACGGTTCTTTATACGTGCCGCATCACTTTTTTCCTCAGATACAAGAGGTTTATTGAACTCACAATCCATTTTTTTTACTTAATTTTCATGCAAACGGTCAGTGTCAGCTTTTTTGATACAGAAAAAGTTTGTATGTCATTTGCATCTCATCAGTAATTGTCAAGTAAGAATCTCCCTTCTAATAGAGTCACATTGTAAGTTAATTAACATCATAAGTTAATCAAAACAATTATGTGTTGACTATACTAACACTTTTATCTCATCTCGTTTCCATCTTTATTTCTACATTGACATTTTCTTAGATGTTCAGACCTCTTTCTGTAGCCTATAATAATGTAAATATGTTAAATGGAATTGTGGGGACCTCCGCAGTCCAGGTTTAAAAAATATTCCCAGTAAGCATGACTTGAGCTTGTGCCTGGTTACTGAACAGTCTCTAAAACTTGATGCTTCTCAATGTTATATCTATTCCAGGCCAGTAGTAACACAGAAGCCCTCTTGAGTGTCCCTAGAATACATCAAAGGGCTATTTCAAATAGTGTCCAAAATTTTGACTTTTGTGCTTGACTAAGATACTTTCAATGTGTTATATTTTAACTTGATGCTTTTCTTCAATTTAACACTAATATAATAGTAAAACATCTAAGTATAATACAGAGAGTAAGGATATAATTTTATGCAGGGTATTTAAAGCATTTTTATAAAGTTGCAATTAGTAGCTTATAGTTGTTTTAATCATAGAAGGGGAATTAATCTTTAAGAGAACTGAGTCAAGAGCCCAGACTCAGGCTTGCTGATGTTCTGTCTGATTTCAATATTTTTGAAGATGCTGCCTTGCATACAGACAATTCAAATATGTGATTAAAATAATCCAGCTGTGCATGGCTATGCTACTGCTATGACTATATGATGGCATGGACACTAGATACAAGTATAAAAGTGGTGAAGTGCACAGGCTCAGGAATCAGACTGCCTGGCTTCAGATCCTGGCTCTGTCTTCCTAGCTGTGTAATGCTGAACATGTCAATGTCACTCAACATTTCTGAGAAATGAAGCTAACAATAGTTTCTACCTCATGCTGTTGTGAGGATTAAGTGAGATTGCACATGCATAGCATTTAGCACAAGATTTGGCACTTCATAAATCCAAAGGATTACAGTAAATAGCCAAGAGTAACCATAAATTTTTTTTTTTCAGACAGAGTTTCACTCTTGTTGCCCAGGCTGGAGTGCAATGGCACAATCTCCACTGACTGCAACCTCCACCTCCTGGGTTCAACCGATTCTCCATCTTCAGCCTCCCGAGTAGCTGGGCTTCAGACACGCCACCACCACGCCTGGCTAATTTTTGTACTTTTAGTAGAGACGGGGTTTCACCATGTTGGCTAGGCTGCTCTCAAACTCCTGACCTCAGGTGATCCGCCCACCTCAACCTCCCAAAGTGCTGGGATTATAGGCGTGAGTGACCGCGTCCGGCCAATCATGAATTCTTTTTAAAATGAATATGCGACACAGAGACAATAATCAATGTAGGAATTCTTTTCTTGGCCAACTCAAAATCATAATTTCACTAACATTTTCTGCTAACTTTTGATTTTGAAAATTTTCAAATTAATAGGAAAGTTGAAGGAATAGTAGCCTGTGTGCCCTCATCTAGACTCATCAACTGTTAGTCTTTTGCTACATTTACTTCCTCTGTGTTTCTACATAAGCGGGGACACACACTCTCAGAAACTTAAAGTTCTGAAAAGTATCTCATCTGTCTCTCTTTATCTGACTATTCCCATTTGCCCCTTATCAGGTACTAACAACATGGCCTGTTTTCATTTTTTTTAACCCTTTGAACATAAGTTGCAAGTATTTTACTTTTCAGCATGCAATTCCTTAGAACAAGGACATTTTCTTTCATAAACATAATATTATCACACACAAGGAAATATATAATTCCATAATGCTATCTCATATCCAGTACATATTCAAACCATTTTCAAAATTTTCCAATTGTCTCGAACATATTTTCTAGTTGTTTGGTTCTTGCCGTTGTTTTTTCTGTCTAGAATCCAGTCTTGCATTGCATTGGTCACTTTTAACCTACATCCCAGTTTAGGCCTGTTAACCTGTAGAATGCCTCACATTTTGGATTTGTCTGGCTTTCCCCTTATAGTTTATTTTAACGTGTTTCCCTTTGCCCTATATTTCTGGAAACTTAAGCCTAGAAGCATAATTAGATTTAAATTTTTTTTTTTAGCAAGGACACACCATAGATATATCATGCACTTCATATTGCATCATATCAGGAGGACATAGTGTAAGGCAATCCCACTATGAGTGATGCTAAATTTAATCTTTCCATTGTAAAAAAACACTCATTTGGAATTAGTAAGTAATCTGTTGGGTGATACTTTGACATCCAATAAACATCCTGTTCCCCTCAATTTTTATATCAATGGTTTTAACTTTGTGGAAGTTATCAGTATCAAAATTGAGTCACTTAAGTCATATTCTTTCAAAATGCAGCTGAGAAGCCACAAAGAAGGAGCCCTCACACACCTATATCTGTAACAGAAATTATTGCAAGAAATTCCTCAAACCCGCACTATTCCAGATAAGCCACTTGCAAAGGACACTCACCTAACAATGGCTGTCTCCAGTAATAAGCCAGTGCCAACTCCTGCAACAAGCCTCTGTAACCAATGGATTTGTTTCAAAGCAGCTTACATGGATGTCTCCTTTTTTTCACTTAAAAACTTCCCCTTGCCCCAGCCTCTTTGTATGTGCCTATGGTGAATCGCATTCTGAATGGCAATTTCTTGCTATTCCCAAGTAAATTCTTTGTTTTGGAGAGTCAGCCTCTCTGTTGCTTATTTTAGATTGACAGCTCTCACTGATGACCGTTGCCTGAATCAATTATTACGTTGTAGGCAATGCGAGTGCTTTTAATTTTCCATTTGAGTGACTGAATAGGTCAGTTAAAAAAGAGTAGAGACAGTGCTTAAAGGGAAGAAGAATATCTAAAAGTTGACAGAAATCACCATGGGCTTGGAGATTGTGTTCCTACACCACGTGTAAAAATGATCTCATTTTATATGTTATATATATGTTTCTTGGCTGGATTTCATAAGACAAGTATTTATTCATTTCAACTCTTATTTAATAGTGGCTGTATGTGCCAGAAATTACACTAGAAATATATAGATAAGACATGCAGTTCCTACTCACAAAGAGCTTCCTAATAAAGAATTAAGGGTACTAAGATGTTATAAACACTTGATAGAATAAATATAGGATAACAGAGTGGGGCTGGTAGAGGAGGAAAAGGGTGGCTCTAAGATGTGAATAATCAGTTCTACCTGAGTCAGAAAGCTGGGTCAGGAATGGGTTCATGGAGGCAATATTTGGGCTGAGTCTGGAAGCAGGTTAGCTACTCACTCAATGGACGAGAGAGAAGGGTGCTGAGTGAATAAAGATATGGACGTCTGCCATTGCCTCTGAATTGACTTCATCCTTATGTCATCATGGTCCCCTAGACCTAAAGTGGTCATTCTTATAATGATTCCTAAATCATTGCTTTCCTTTGTGTGGGATCCTCCAATCAACAGATGTGAGCTTTGTTTGGGTTATTTATCCCTGCTCTCTAAGTGGTAATTTGGCTCTAGGTCTGGATGTTATGGTAAAGTAAGCTACAATGAATTAAGATTTTGGCTGTGAGTGACAGAAAACCCAAACATCAGTAGCTCAAACAAGTTGATTCTCTCTGCCTCTCTGTGTGTGTCTCTCTCTCTTCTCTCAAGTATGGAAGTAAACTGCCTAGGGATAACATAGTACTTCACATCTCAGGCTTCTCAATCTTGTTTCTCCAGCTGAAAGTCTGAGATGACTGCTCCAGTTTAAGCCATCATGTCCTCTTTTCAGCCAGCAGGAAGGAGGAAGGGCACAGAAAAGGGCATATTTTTAAGGACACTTCTTGAAAGTTACGCGTATTATTTCTATTTACATTTCATTGGCCATAACTAAAAGGCATGGCCACATCTAGCTGCAAAGAAGGTTGAGAAATGTAGCTAAAATACAGAGTTATTTTGCTACAGAAGGGAAGAGGTTTAGAGAACATCCATGAGACTTGGCTATGTCTGTTCACAGGTGGCTAAGAGGGTCACTGAGGAGCAGTTAGTGGGGAACAAAAAGGAGGCTCTCCAGGCATTGGGGATGGCATGGGTTAATCTTTAGAAAGATGAAAACAGGCCATATTCTTAGGAAAAGATAAGGGGAAATTGAGAATAAAGACAGGCAGATTAAATACTTTTCAAAACCTCAAGAAAATTGTTTTTATTTATTTGGCCTTCTCTGAAGGTGGTAGACCCAAAGTGAAGAAAGGATAAGTTTTGAACCTATTATTCACAAAATTGGCTGAGCATGGTGGCTCATGCCTATAATCCCAGCACTTTGGAAGGCTGAGGCGGGTGGTTCACCTGAGGTTCAGGAGTTCAAGACCAGCCTGGCCAACATGGTGAAACCCCGTCTCTACTAAAAATATAAAAATTAGCTGGACATGGTGGCACATGCCTGTAATCCGAGATACTCGGGAGGCTGAGGCAGGAGAATCACTTGAACATGGGAGGCAGAGGTTGCAGTGAGCCGAGATCACGCCATTGCACTCCAGCATGGGCAACAGAGCAAGACTTCGTCTCCAAAAAGAAAAAAAAAAAGCCTACAGTAGTAACCTGTCAGATATCCAGATTACTGACTTTATTGGAACTTTGTTGGAATATATTACCAATACTTCATTCATTCATTTTTTTATTCAATAAACACATATCATGTGCCAGGCACCAAACTGGATCAGGGGATGCAATAGTGAACACAGCAGAACAGTGGTCCCAGCCCACACAGTACTTATGTGAGACAAATTCGAATCAAATATTCACATGGATAAATCTAAGCCTGCAATTGCAGTAAGTGCTACAAGAAAGGAAATAAAGTATAATATTAAAATGGTATTGCCCTAGTCAGGGAGATCAGAGAAATGTCCCCAGGAGAGGTGATGCTTGGGCTGAGGTCAGACTGAGAAGTAGAGTGAACTAAGTGAAGGGGTGGGTGGCTAGTGGTGAGAGAGTTTAAATGTTCCTGACAGTGGAGGGAGAACTGAGCAACAGTTCCCATAACAATGTAACAACATGAAGCCTGGGACAAAGTGCAAAACACTACCAATAGTTTGCCACTTTTCATGTAAGCAAGGGGGGAAATAATATACATTTCTGTTCATTTCTGCAAAACCCACAAAACCAGAAGAATAATGAGATTGGTCACTTACAATGAGTAAGCAAGAATGGATGGAAAGAATGGGGCAGATGGAAACAGAGTAGAAGGCATATAGGAGAGTGACATGTCTCTGAGTATAACTTTTGTATAGTTCTGACTTTCAGTACTATGTTAGTGGCATGTATTTCCAAAGGAAATAACTTAAATTAGCCAAGATGTGGGCAAAGACAGACCCAAAATGAAATATCAGGCCAGATGCAGTGGCTCATGCCTGTAATATTAACGCTTTGTGAGGCAAAGGCAGAAGAATCACTTGAGGGCAGAAGACCAGCTTGGCCAACATAGTGAGACCCTGTCTCTGCAAATGATTTTTAAGAATTAGCTGTGTAGGGCCAGGTGCAGTGGCTCATGCCTGTAATCCCAGCACTTTGGAAGGCCGAGGCAGGCAGACCACGAGGTCAGGAGATCGAGACCATCCTGGCTAACACGGTGAAACCCCATCTCTACTAAAAATACAAAAAAATTATCTGGGCGTGGTGGCGGGTGCCTGTAGTCCCAGCTACTCGGGAGGCTGAGGCAGGAGAATGGCATGAACCCGGGAGGCGGAGCTTGCAGTGAGCCAAGATCATGCCACTGCACTCCAGACTGGGTGACAGAGCGAGACTCCAACTCAAAAAAAAAAATTAGCCGGGTAGACTGGGCACAGTGGCTCATGCTTGTAAATCCCAGCACTTTGGGAGGCTGAGGCAGGCAGATCACTTGAGGTCAGGAGTTCGAGACCAGCCTGGCCAACATGGTGAAACCCTGTCTCTACTAAAAATACAAAAGTTAGCTGGGCGTGGTGGTGTACGCCAGTAATCCCAGCTACTCAGGAGGCTAAGGCATGAGAATCGCTTGAATTCTGGAGGTGGAAGTTGCAGTGAGCCGAGATTGCACCACTGCACTCCAGCCTGGGCGACAACATGAGACTCCGTCTCAAAAAAAATTAGCCAGGTATGGTGGCATGCACCTGTAGCACTAGCTACTCAAGAAGCTGAGGTAGAAGGATCATTTGAGCCCAGGAGTTCAAGGCTGCACTGAGCTATGCTTGGGATACTGCACGCCGGCCTGGAGTGAGACCTGTCTCAAAAAATATAGATAGATACACACACACACACACACATACACACACACACACAGAGTACCATAAGAACCCAACTGTGTTACAAATGAATAACATGCTGAGATAGATGAGAAGGAAAAGAACTAACTCGCAGTGGTATGAGTTAGCAATTGTGAAACTAAGCATTCTGGAATTGAGTAAATAACTGAATATACTGTGAATAATGAGAGCTAGGTTTCTCATTGTCAGAGAAAGGGTTACAAATAAAGAAAGGAGGAACGTTGGAATAAACGCTGTGATGTTGGATTGGAATCAGAGGTATCAGTATGAATTCATTATTATATACACACAAACAACACACCCGCAGATACAGAAATAGAGATATGTATATTTGTATGCATTCACATATTTCCTAGCTATCTGCTGAACCTGGAATCAATGACACCTCAGTAGTTACAAGAGTCGTTGGTGCTCAGATCTTGGTTTCTAAATACCATTCTCCAATTAAAGGTATTAGAGTCCCTCGATTTCCAGGGCTGGTTCAGGAAAAACACAAGTTGAACCCGGAGCATCTTATGGTGCCAGAAAAAATGTGGTGTTCAAAAAATTAGGCTAGGCATGGTGGCTCACGCCTGTAACCCTAGCCCTTTGGGAGGCCAAGGCAGGCAGATCACTTGAGGTCAGGAATTCAAGATCAGACTCGCCAACATGGCGATACCCTGTCTCTACTAAAAAAATACGAAAATTAGCCGGGCGTGGTGGCAGGCGCCTGTAATCCCAGCTAGTCAGGAGGCTGAGGCAGGAGAATTGCTTGAACCTGGGAGGCGGAGCTTGCAGCAAGCCGAGATCACTCCACTGCACTCCAGCTTGGGTGACAGAGCAGGACTCTGTCTCAAAAAAAAAAAAAAAAAAAAATTATGGGGACATGAAAGGACACAGGAGTGGTTCCAATGGCCAAATCTGGGACAAGTTGAAAAAGAAAATAATAATGAATAATCATATCATGAAATGGTAATGAATAATAATAACATATCAATGATAATAAATATCCATGAGTCTATATGGATGTAAATAAATAAGTAAATGGAGGAAAAGGGACAGCTCTTCCTTTCAGAAGAATTCCATTAATAAGTGTAGAAAGAGACAAACACCATAGGCATAATAGTTTCAAGCAATAAGCATCAATGGATGATACAACTAATGGGCAAAATATGATGAAAAACAGAATATTTATATATTTCTAGGGGTATCTTGCTGCAAGATACTCATCCATTTCAAAGGGAAAAATACTAACTTTACCGTGAAGGAACCTGGTAGACAACACCTTAGTCAAGTGATGAAAGTTAACATCACCAGTAACAAGGCAAATTGACATTATGTAACTCCTGATAGGATGCATTGAGGTGGAGAAGAGTACAGTATCATGTCTGTGGTATTCTTTCCAAAAATGCATTATCAGAATTTAATCACAAAGAAAATTCAGAAAAACTCAAGTTAAGGTACATTCTAAATAACTCTCCAGTGCTCTTCAAGTGTCAAAGTCATGAATGTTAAAGAAGGATGGAGGAACCATCCCAAATTAAAAGAAACTAAGAAGACATGACAATTTAATGCAATGTGGGATCTTGTTTCAAAAGGAAAAAAAAAAGAACCAACTAGTGGCACAATTAATACAATTTAAATAAGGTTTTTAGATTAGATAACTGTATTGTATCAAATTTAATTTCCTGGTTTTTATAATTATAATGTGGTTAAAATTGTGAACATTTGGGGAAGCTGAATAAAGGATATATGGGAACTCTTTGTATTACTTTTGTATCCTTTATTCTAAGTCTGAAATTATTTTTAAATTATTTTAAAATGTAAAGTTTAAAATAATGCAAAAAGCTGGGCACAGTGGCTCATGCCTGTAATCCCAGCACTTTGGGAGGCCAAGACAAGCGGATCTCTTGAGGTCAGGAGTTTGAGACCAGCCTGGCCAACATGGTGAAACCCCATCTCTACTAAAAATACAAAAAAATTAGCCATGCATTTAGCCTGTAGTCCCAGCTACTCGGGAGGCTGAGGCAGGAGAATTGCTTGAACTTGAGAGGTAGAGGTTGCAGTTAGTCAAGATCACTCCACTGGTCTCCAGCCTGGAAGACAGAGTGAGACTGCATCTCAAAAAAATAAAATAAAATAATGCAAAAGACTTGTAATGAACTGTTCTGTCATTCAAATACAGCAAACTTGTCAAAAAGCAAACAAACAGCCCTGAGAAGTAGGTAGGGCTACATGTGGGCACTTGGTAGCCATGTTAAAGGATTTAGGCCTTGTATCTTATGAGCAATGAGAAACAACTGAAGAAGAGGTCAGGGCATGGGGTCAGTATATCTGTGAGGTTTCCAACAGGAAAGAGATGGCATGCTTAAAATAGATAATTTGAGGAAGATTTGTTTACATAGAGATTGGGTAAATTATGCTCCTGACTATGTAAATGATACTCCTGACTTCTAAATCCTGACATTATTATCAAAAATAGGAAGTTTTCTAAGCTTACAGTTGTAGTAACAGTGACATTTTCATTTGAGAACACTCAGGCATAATTTAAGGAATGGATGCTGACAATTCTAGTGCCTCCTGAAAGATGTAAAATAAAAGAAAGATTTTTGTTGTCATGTTTTACTATGAGGAAATATGTAGAACATGCACATGTTTTATTGATTTTATTCATTACTGTTGCTAGTTTCTGGAATCTTGCCAGAAGTCTCCTCTAGGTTCTACAGGTGTTTTGTGCGTGTACTGGGTGCTGGCTTCTATGGTTCCTTATGGATGTTTTCGAAAAAGCTACACCACTTGACTTCTCTCTTGTGACTCTTCCTACCATCATTTATTACTACTTCCATGTGCTGAAAGTTTTGCTCTCCTAGTGCTCATAGCTCTGGGAGTCAACCTTAAATGGTCTAGGAGTTTTTATAATTAGTAGCCCCACTGAGCAATCTGATTGCCTTCATGAGGACTATGTGAGTCATCTACTTTTATAAGTAGGGTATGCATATTCATTCAGGTCATCTCTCAGCTTCCCATCACTGTTCCTCCAACCCTAAACCAAAATCCCAAGCAAATTCACCTTCCTGCTCTCTCCAGCCTTGTTCCTTTTCTTCCTAAGACAGATCTACGGTCTCTTTTGCTGGACTATCAGCCCTAAAGTTTCCGCCATTATTTATTGCAGGGACTCTTATGCCCCCAGTGTTCCTAAGGGAAGTTTTGCATATTAAAGTTTCTACTATAACTGTAATTGATACTTTCCTGGTTTTCAAAAATAGGTGGTTCTCAAAATTAGGACTTTTCAGCTGGGTAATCCTCACTTTACAAATACACATTTAAGAAATTGTAATGTCTTTTAAAAGTCTATTTCTTCTGGAATATGATTGAAGTTGGCCTGCAAGATCAAATTAGATTATACATAGAGGCAAGATATATTTTTATCTATTAATTCCAAAGGAATTAATAGAGGTTACAGTGAGCCGAGATCGTGCCATTGCACTCCAGCCTGTGTGACAGAGTGAGTTTCTGTCTCAAACAACAACAACAACAATTTAGTTATGGAAACTTCCTTTTTCAGCTAACATTTTTATAATGAAAAGGACTAACATGAAATATATTTTTATGCCTCTTGAAGTACGTGAGTCTCTGGCTTTTTCTGAAAATCTGGATGCTGCATAAGGACACACACAGAATGTGTTGGCCAAATGTGACAACACAGATGGATGCTGTGTGGCCCATGTAGAGGTCAGCTTTTATTTCTGCCTTTTCCACTTTTCAGTTCATAGGTTTTCTATATTCCTTTGTCAATGTCTGTTGGTTTAGGTTCCTTGGGCAAACACTTCCCAACTATCTTAGCTTTTTTTCTTTTTTTCAGTGGCATTTTAGGGGAAGAAAGTGAAATTTCAAGAATTAGAAGAAAAATTTTTAACTTCAGTTGCCAGTGACTAATTAGGGGACTAAAAATTAGGAGTTTCCACTGGACTTCATCTAAAAGTTTGATTCTTAGTCTGTTTTCTAGTGGTTTTCTTAGTAAATTAAGCCTCCTCACTCTATCTATTAGAAGAAGTATTGGTATTAATCTAAGAAATATGTAATGGAATTGCTTCAAAAGCAGTCCCCAAAACAAAACTCATTTATTGTAGAAAGAGATGCCTAACTTTCACAGTTATTAAAT
Source organism: Homo sapiens (assembly GCF_000001405.40). Classification (NCBI taxonomy): domain Eukaryota; kingdom Metazoa; phylum Chordata; class Mammalia; order Primates; family Hominidae; genus Homo; species Homo sapiens. The sequence goes on from NC_000006.12 coordinate 99,368,267, forward strand.
ATATACATTGTTAAGTACTAGAAATTCAAGATGATTCAGTAATAATTGCTTCAAGATGATTCAATAATAACTGCATATCACTTATATTTGGGAAGATAAAACATGGTTTTTTTTCCTTTAAATTTTACTTTGTTGGAAAGCAAATGAGTTGTTAAATATATGCTGGATTTGGATTCAAATATTAAATTCAAGAATTTCAGGTTATTTTGACATACTTCTGTATACAGTTCTTTAAATGTTTTATGGTGCTTTTTTTTTAAGTAGAAAGGATTTTTTAAACACTCAGTTAAAAAATTTAGTTATAGCACATGGACACAGGGAGGGGAACATCACACACTGGGGCCTTTCAGGGGGCTAGGGGCTAGGGGAGGGATAGCATTATGAGAAATACCTAATGTAGGTGACAGGTTGATGGGTGCAGCAAACCACCATGGCATGTGTATACTTAGGTAACAAAACTGCATGTTCTGCACATGTACCCCAGAACTTAAAGTATAAAAAAAAAATGAGTTATGGGTCAGGCATGGTGGCTCATGCCTGTAATCCCAGCACTTTGGGTGACTGAGGTGGGTGGATCACCTGAGGTCAGGAGTTTAAGACCAGCCTGGCCAACATGGCGAAACCCTGTCTCTACTAAAAATACAAAAATTAGCTGGGCGTGGTGGCTGGTGCCTGTAATCCCAGCTACTTGTGAGGCTAAGGCAGGAGAATCGATTGAACTTGGGAGGCAGAGGTTTCAGTGAGCCTAGCTATGAGATAGCGCCACTGCGCTCCAGCTCGGGGACAACAGAGCAAGACTGTATCTCAAAAGAAATAAAAATAAAAATAAAAATAAAAAATAGCAAAGCATGGTGGTGCATGCCTGTAGTCCCAGCTACTCAGAAGGCTGAGGTGTGAAGATTGCTTCAGCCCTGGAGGTTGAGGCTGCAGTAAGCCATGATCACGCCACCACAATCCAGCCTGGGCAACAGAGTGAGACCCTATCTTGAAACAAAAACAAATTACAGCATATACATATGTATATGTATACATGCAGAATATATATATATATGTATTTTTTTGTACGATGAAATGAATATGCATACCCTAGTTATACAACAAAGGTTGAGGAACTTACACTCCTAGATCACGCAATATCTTGACAAAACTTTTTATTCACAGAATCCCTTGAAAGTAGCTATTAGACGAAATAACAAAAACTTTTGTCCAAGGTTTTAGCCCTTTTTATTGACCTTCTTTTCTTCATGATTCTCTCTCAAAGGATAAATTGTACATTTTTGTATTTGAAAACATCAGATATCCAAGCCATATTACTATAGTTCTCAGAAACAATTCATTTCTTCAGCTTTTCATGCACAGCTGGATTGGTGCAGGCATTAGCTTGGAGCTCTTCTGTTTCTCCCTTTAAAACAAACTCAGCAGAGGCTGGGTGTTCCTGGACCCTGGATTTCACAGCATAAGCTGCATAGTTAAGGCTGGTATTTTCACTCCAATGCCAGTAACCTGAGAAGGGGTTATAGAGCATTCCTACCACTGTTTGAACTGACAGACCATCTGAAAAAAAAAAAAATCAGAAAGAGTAGATTTAATAAATATTTTCCTTCCAATTTCCAAGAGTTTCATGCAACTTTCTATATTAAAAATGCTGAGAGCACACTAAATGGATAGGAAAAGAAGAAAAAAAAAGGATTCCTAACTTAATGGGCAAGCGTATTTTGTAACTATGCACTAATCACAATTTACTGCAGAACTTCAGTAAGTCGCAATTAGGACACATACTCCAACGCAGTCTGCCTGGATTCAAATCCCAGCTTGGGTACCTATTACATGGTGACCATGGGCAAGCCACTTAACTTTATAAATCTCAGTTTTCTTACAGGTACAGAACTTGTATCATAGAACTGTTAGAATTAGATGAGCTATATGTGTAAACTAGCACAATGCTTGGAGTTTGGTAAGTACTCAATAAATGTTAGCTGTTATTAAAAAATATGTGCCAACAGGAGATTGTCCCCATAACACATCTTTAAAACATTTTTTTCCTACTTTCTTTTCTTTCTTTCTTTTCTTTTCTTTACTTTTTTTTTTTTTTTTTTTTGTGAGACAGAGTTTCACTCTGTTGCCCAGGCTGGAGTGCAGTGGCACAATCTTGACTCACTGCAACCTCCATCTCCTGATTTCAAGTGATTCTCCTGCCTCAGACTCTCGAGGAGCTGGGATTACAGGCATGCACCACCACACCCGGCTAATTTTTGTATTTTTAGTAGAGACAGGGTTTCACCACATTGGCCAGGCTGGTCTCGAACTCCTGACCTCAAATAATCTGCCTGCCTCGGCCTCCCAAAATGCTGGGATTAGAGGCATGAGCCACTGCGTGCAGCCTTACTTTATTTTCAACAAAGTTACTCATAGAAATCTTTAGAATTTACTACATGGCTATGTACTAATAATATTCCAAGTAAAATCAAGTTTACTGATAGACTTATATGAAAAAAAAAGCATTAGAAATATAGGAGTCTAAGTACTCAACAGGAATACCGAATGCCAAATAAATGAACTGACAAGCACTATTACTTGACCAGAATTCATCACATAAATCGAGAGCTCACTCTGTGTAAAGCAGAGCTAGGCATTGTAGAGAGTACAAAAAGGAGACATAGTCTTGCCTTCAAGTAGCTTACAGGCCATAAAAGGATGAAAAAAACCACCAAAATAACCATAAAGTCATGCTGTAAGTAATATAAAATACATAAAAAGTGATACTGAAGTTCAAAATATATGTAACTGTGGTGGAATCAGGAAAAATAATATGTAAGATAAGCTGATACAAGCAGGGCTCAAGAAGGCAGACTGAGAATGTGTAAATAACAGACATTTGTATCTCTTTCCTAAACAAGTGAGGACTAAATAGCCAAAAAGTATTCATTGATCATCTGTTATCTGCTTGGCCCTGGGTTAGGGGGCAACAGGTAAAAGAGAAGTGGTATCTACTACTTAATCCTAGCTTCCATGAGTTTATGACCTAGTTGAGAAGATAAAACCAACATTCAAAAACATAGTGGCCTATTTTATTAAGTGCTAGGCTAAGTGCGTAATAATTACTGGCATATTAAAAGTTCAGCTAGGCCTGGAAAATTGGAAAAAATTCTCTTAATACTTACTTGATTCCAGAATGCTCTCTAGTGTTTCAGGTGAAACAAACTTCTCCCATGTATGAGTACCTTTTGGTACAATACTTGCAATTTGCTCTGAAAAAACAATTCCCAAGGCATAGGAAAGTTGTGTTTTGTTGATTGTAGTAATGAATAAAGAACCACCGGGCTAAAAGAAATGAAATTATATAGAAGTAAAATGTAAAAGACTAAGTGTATCACTTAAGTAAAAGCTGTTTCCCCCTCCCTCCTCCTTTCTTCCAAATAATCTGAGTGCCATTAAAATATATATGTACGCATAAAATATAATTCACCAAAATAGCATTTTTTTTCTCTTGGGAAATTCACTATAAAAGGCATTTTAGATGTACTCAGTGAGTATATACAACAGTGCTTACAACTCTTAAGATCATATATAATTATGATTTATATTTATATATTCTTTTGTACATATCAAACACTTTACAATAAAAATGAGATCAGGCTGCTCTTCCTTGTTACATGTCCACATTCACATTCTAACATATGTCAAAATGGTTTTCATTGTAAGTGCTGAGCCTGTCTTAACTCGTTTGTTACAGCACAGAGCTATACATCTTGTGCAGGGAAGTACTACCAATAAGTGTTTTCTCACTAAAACATTAATGATTAGGTTTGAACATTTTTTGTTTTTATTTCATTTTTATAAAAAATATAAAGAGTGGCCGGCCGTGGTGACTTACAAACTGTATTCCCAGCACTTTGAGAGGCTAAGGCGGGCAGATCACTTGAGATCAGGAGTTTGAGACCAGACTGGCCAACATGGCGAAACCCCCGTCTCTACTAAAAATATAAAAATCAGCTGGGCATCGTGGTGAGTGCCTGTATTCCCAGCTACTCAGGAGGCTGAGGCAGGAGAATCACTTGAACACAGGAGGTGGAGGTTGCAGTGATATATATTTATATAAAGAGAACAACATGAGCACCAGGATGAATGCAAAGGATTTATAGGACTATTCAGTGTGCCAGTTTATCTTTGAGACACAGTCTTGCTCTGTCGCCCAGGGTAGAGCACAGTGGCATGATCTCAGCTTACTGCAACCTCCACCTCCCGGGTTCAAGCGATTCTCCTGCCTCAGCCTCCCAAGTAGCTGGGATTACAGGTGCCTGCCACCACGCCCGGCTAATGTTTGTATTTTTAGTAGAGACGGGGTTTCACCATCTTGGTCAGGCTGGTCTCGAACTCCTGACCTTGTGATCCACCTGCCTTGGCCTCCCAAAGTGCTGGGATTACAGGCATGAGCCACTGCACCCGGCCTCAGTCTGTCATTTTATAGTAAATATATTTATGGCGTTACCTATATTGTCTCACAAATGGCAAGGATATTAATGTCCCCTCTCTCTTTTAAACATTCTCATTAGCCTGATGAGGGAAAAATGCCAAAGATTCCCTCCAAAATAATCATATTACTATAGACATATAGAAAGAAAGCGAGAAAGAAAGGGGAGTTAGGAGAAAGAGATAATATATCTTAGATACCACTCTATGCCAAAAATAAAAAAGACAAGAGAGGGCCCTGAAATATTGGAGTATGCCTTTAAATTAAAAACAAAAATATCATACACTATATTATCACACATTTTAACTTTCCTCTGTAAAGCTCTAGTATTCTAAAATATCTTTTTTTCCCTTTAATGGCATGATCATAGCTCATTGCAACTTCAAACTCTAAAATATCTTAAGAATCACTTCTAGGCCAGGCATGGTGGCTCATGCCTATAATTCTAGTGCTGAGGCAGGAGGATTGCTCGAGACCAGGAGTTCAAGACAAGCCTGGTCAACATAGCGAGAACCGCATCTCTACAAAAAATTTATTTAAAAAAACTATCAGGCATGGTGCTGAGCACCTGTAGACATAGCTACTTGGGAAGCTGAGGTGGGAGGATCACTTGAGCCCAGCAGTTTGAGGTTTTAGTGAGCTATGATGGTGCCACTGCACTCCAGCCTGGGTGACAGAGGAAGATCCTGTCTCTGAAAAAAAAAAAAAAAGTCACTTATGAATATCTAATCTGTGTTCTACATACTCGTACTTTAAGGAAATGGTGGTAAGCAATAGTCATTTTTAAAACATAGGCTTTCCATTAAAGCAAAAATTAGTTTTAAACCCTACAATGCCAGCATCCCTCATATGTGTCAAAGAACCTCCCTTCATACACACTGACATATAAAATAAGAATTAACAATCAATTAAGAAGTTTTATTTGGAAAATAAGAGATAAGCCTAGTAAAACTCTACTTAAGAGGAAACAAGGGCTAGGCACAGTAGCTCACGCCTGTAATCCTAGCACTTTGGGAGGCTGAAGCGGCAGGATCCCTTGAGCTCAGGATTTTGAGACCAGCCTGGGCAACATAGGGAGACCCTGTCTCTACAAAAAAGTAAAATATAAAATTAAAAATTAAAATTAGCTAGATATGGTGGCATGCACCTGTGGTCCCAGCTACTTGGGAGGCTGAGATGGGAGCATGGCTTGAGCCCAGGAAATGGCTGCAGTGAGCCGTGATCTTGCCAGTACACTCCAGCCTGGGTGACAGAGTAAGACCTTGTCAAGAAAAACAGAGGAAACACCAAAAAACTGTCACAGATTAAAGAAGACTAAGGAGAAATGACAACTAAATACATGTACAAGTCTGGTTTGGATCCTGTAACAGCAAACTGACATTAGCAAAAAAAAAAAAAAAAAAAAATTAATAAAATTTAACGAGCTCTGTAGTGCAGTTAATAAGTATAATGCTGATGTTAATTTCTTAGTTTTGAGAACTGTACCATGGTTTATATATAGGGCTAGAACTATAATGAGGCAAGTGAGTCTTCTAGGGCACAGAATTGAAATAGGCAACCCCTTTCAGGGTATGCAAGTGCAGGGTCAGCACCTGAGAGGGGCTGTCACCTGCAATTTTGTGCCCTAGGTGTCTCACTTGACTCATCCTAGTTCCTACCCTTATGATGTGAGATGTTAACCTAAGGGGAAGACAGGTGAAAGGCACACTGTACTTACTATCTTTGCAATTTTGCTATAAATTTAAAATTACTTAAAATTTCAATAAGAGCTATGCATTTCATTCTTTTAGCTTTTGACCTTAGGATGTCACCTCCTAAATATGTGAACGACAGAGTCAGTATAGTAATAATAATAATACTTTAGGGGTATTTATTAAAAGAAAACTTACAGCCACATTCAGAGAACAAAGTCTGTTGTAAATTATACTATATAAGCATAGTAAGTAATGGAGAGAACCAAACTTGGAGTCAAATGGTCTGGCCTTAAGCCCCACTTAAATGCCTAGAGACCTCTGACATCTGATAAATCCTGAGTCCTCGTAGGTGAAAGGATGTGATAACAATACCTGCCTTTCCTTCCTCATCTAGTTGTAGGTAAGATCAAGTGAGATCACATTTATGAAATATTCTTTTATAAGCTGAAAACTATTACGCATTTACCATGTACAGAATTACTTGTTATTTAATTAAACTTATGCTAATAATTATTTTTATTGATGTTTAAGTATTCATCCAAATCAATTTCTTTCTTTTTTTTTTTTTTTTGAGACAGTTTCGCTCTTGTTGCCCAGGCACAATCTCGGCTCACTGCAACCTCTGCCTCCCGGGTTCAAGCAATTCTCCTGCCTCACCCTCCCAAGTAGCTGGGATTACAGGCATGCGCCACCACGCCTGGCTAATTTGTATTTTTAGTAGAGACGGGGTTTCTCCATGTTGGTCAGGCTGGTCTCAAACTCCCAACCTCAGGTGATCCACCCGCCTCCGCCTCCCAAAGTGCTGGGATTACAGGTGTGAGCCACTGTGCCCAGCCTCAAATCAATGTCTTATAATTGTCATTCAATATCTGTTAAGTATTTAATCCCGACTGCACCAGTGGAAAAATACTGCTATAAGTGTATGGTTTTCCCGTGTTCAGCACCAATATTTTTCTTTTTTTTTTTTTTTGAGACAGGGTCTCACTCTGTTGCCCAGGCTGGAGTGCAGTGACACGATCTCGCCTCACTGCAACCTCCACCTCCAGGGTTCAAGCAATTCTTGTACCTCAGTCTCCTGAGTATCTGGAATTATAGGCATGCACCACCATGTCCAGCTAATTTTTTCTATTTTTAGTAGAGATGGGGTTTCACCATGTTACCCAGGCTAATCTCCAACTCCTAGCCTCAAGTGATCTGCCCACCTTGGCCTCCCAAAGTGCTGGGATTACAGGCATAAGCCACCATATCCAGCCAGCACCAGCATTTTTCAAGATCCCTGGACATCCAAGATATTAATAGGACACAGGAAGACCCTGGTATTGAGGGCAAGCTGAGGAGTAGAAGAAATCTACAGCAGAGATGCTGTCCCCTCATCCAGGCTTCCTGGTTTCTTCTCTACTATACCTTGCCTGCTGGACTGCTAATGCATTATGGACCATTTTATTGCTATAGATACAAATACACACACTCAGAAGAAGAAACCAAGATGTAAACTCCATAAGCCTTACTTTTAACACTTGACAGCAGCACTGTAAAAATGTTTCTAGATCAATCACATGTTCTACAACTTCAGAAGCTACAACAGCATCAAATGTTTCTGCAGTCTCTTCCACAATCTCTTCCAGGGAACACACTCTGTACTCTATTCTCTTATCCAGGACTGGATCAAATGATTTATGGCATTGTGCTGTTTTAATGTTCTCATCCACAGGGTCGATTCCAATAACTGAAGCCCCAAGCCGCCCTAGAGGCTAATGGCATTAAAAAAACTGTTACCCTCAGGAAGAAAATAGAGCACATGTTAGCAATAAAAAGCTTATCAAAAATGAAACAAGATTAACCATGAGGTGATAAATACTGGACATCATTTATGGGTACATGGAAACTCATATACCATTTTCTCTAGTTTGTACACATTTGAAATTTTCCATAATCAAACCCTTAAAGTTAAGAAGAACAATGAAAACAACAAAAAACTGATAAAAAACTACTTGAAGACAGTGAAAAAAACTTTGTCTATGTACTCTAGATACACTTACTTGCACATAGTACAGTATTAACATATTTAAAGTGCAATAAATGTAACAAGCCATTGAAAAAACAGCAATCATTTCTGAAATATTCAAATTTTCTAAAGAACAATCTTTTCTCAAAAGTTTTTTTCTCTGACTAGAAATGATTTTTCATAGCTAATTCTTCTCTCAGCTTTTTTATTTAGTCATTTCCCATGACATGCCCAAGTTTTTAAACACAGGTTGGCCAGGCACGGTGGCTCACGCCTGTAATCCCAGCACTTTGGGAGGCAGAGGTGGGTGAATCACCTGAGGTCAGGAGTTCAAGACCAACCTGGCCAACATGGTGAAACCCTGTCTCTACTAAAAATTAGCTGGGCATGGTGGCGGCAGCCCGTAATCCCAGCTAGTTGGGAGGCTGAGGCAGAAGAATTGCTTGAACCTGGGTGTTGGAGGTTGCAGTGAGCTGAGATCATGCCATTGCACTCTAGCCTGGGCAACAAGAGTGAAACTCTGTCTCAAAAAAAAAAGATTAAAATCAATATTATGGATGTGTGTGTGTGTGTGTGTGTGTGTGTGTATGTGTGACAGAGTCTCTCTCTGTTGCCCAGGCTGGAGTGCAGTGGCTCAATCTCAGCTCACTGCAACCTCTGCCTCCCGGGTTCAAGCGATTCTCCTGCCTCAGCCTCCCGAGTAGCTGGGATTACAGGTGCCCGCCACCACACCTGGCTAATTTTTGTATTTTTAGTAGAGACAGGGTTTCGCCATGTTGGTCAGGCTGGTCTCGATCTCCAGACCTCAGGTGATCCACCCACCCTGGCCTCCCAACATGCATTTCTTTTTTTAATGAATAATATTATTTGTTGAAAGAATAAATGAGGCACAAGTCTACTTCTTAATTTTTTTCTCCCAGTTAAAAATGGCAGGAAAGCTGTCACTTACTTCAGTTAACAGCCCACCACCACAGCCAACGTCAAGAATCTTCATCCCCAACAAAGGTTTTCCTGGCTGGTGATTAGGAATTGTTTTCAGAAGATTGTCCCTTTTTTAAAAAATTCAAAACATACCAAAACAAATAATTAATTTTATCAACGAAAAGTCACAAAGTGTGTAGTTTTCAAGGAAATATTAACCTCCATTTAAATAAATTATTCATTTTTTTTATAAATAGATCTTTCAACATTGACATTTAATTTATAAAACATTTTCAATAATCAAAAGCAGGATGCTTAAAGGTCTGAAATAATCTAGTAGTAATTATGACTTAATTATTGTTTTAGTAATAATATAAAGAAAAAATTTCAAAATAATCTAGATTAACCTAATTTCAATTGCTTGAGATATCATGACACACGTTTTGGCTTTGCTGTCAATACTTGCTAGACCCATTTCATGTCAGCAGCAAATAGGTTATTTTATAGAGCTTAGAAAAAGCAGATGGGAGACCTATATTTTCAGAATTTGTCTATATTCCCTTCAAAATAAAATTTCTTTTAATCTTCTAAATGAGTGGTGTTTTCATGTATGAGCATGTAAACAGGCATCTAAATCAAGTAAACTTACTTCTAAGATAATCACGGTTAATACTTTACCTATACAAACATATGTATACACACATATACACACAAGTATATATACACCTAACAGTATTGTAAACTAAACATATATATATATATATATATATATATATATATATATATATATATATATATATTTAGAGAGAGAGAGAGAGAGAGAGGACTATGTATAAATTTTAATTATACTTATATTAAAATAAATATTATTCATAATGAGGATATCTTAAGATATCTTCTATTGCCATTAAAGTTAATTGAATTCTAAGAATAACATGGATAGTGGTTAAGTAGATCATTTTGGAAAGTTATAACATACAGAAAAGACCCATTTCAAATGAAGTCGATCCATTGTTTAAACCACAGCTAAAATGACTCCTTTACATCATAATTTAGATCATATCACTTTCCTTCGATGGGTTCTAATTATGCTCAAAATAAAATCTAAACTTTAACCATAGCTTGCACTGCCCTGGGTTATTATGTGTGATCTCTAGTTAAAGGTGTCTCGTAGTTTGAACAGAGTAATTCCCAAACTTAGTATACATCAGAATCACGTAAAGTTTGCTTAAAATGGAGTGCTGACCCCTCCCCAGAGCAGTAGGTCCCTGATGAGACGTGATAATTTGCATTTCTAATGAGCTCCTAGGTGAACTAATGTCACTGTCCAGGGCCTACACTTTGAGACCCAGTGTTCTAGCTTACAAGAATGACATTTCTGTTTTTCTTTGCTTTGCTTTGTCAGTGGTATTAAAGGATGTCAGTATTTCTCTTTTTGGTATACTAATTCTGGATGAACCAGCAAAAACCAACCAGGAAGTTCCTTGAGGGCAAAGTCTGAGTCAGATATTCTGTGTCTGTTACAGTGCTTTGCCCAAAATTGTTTGATGAATACATAAATGGACAGAGGAACAAATGAACAATTTCTTTCTTTTTTTTTTTTTTACATTTTGCTTGTAGCTGCTCCCTTGCAGTTCCCTTTATTTTTTATTTTATTTTATTTTATTATTATTATACTTTAAGTTTTAGGGTACATGTGCACACCGTGCAGGTTTGTTACATGTGTATACATGTGCCATGTTGGTGTGCTGCACCCATTAACTCGTCATTTAGCATTAGGTATATCTCCTAATGCTATCCCTCGCCCCTCATACTAAATCTTAATGGTTGGAGCCTTTCAGAAATTACTTACCTAGAAATACGTTTTAAGAAACAGTTTTGCAACTCACTGATAAAAAATATTTTTAAAGGGATAAACAATTTGGATGCTTTTCTAATTCATCACGTTAAGTGAGAATTCTCACGTTAAGTGAGAATGGTGTCCAGTTTTCTTAAATGTAAGCCCTGATGTACTCTTGCCTTTCTTTAACTTCCACAGCAACCTATAAGTTCCCGAAGCACAAAGATTATGTTTCATTCATCTTAGAGTCTTTTACAGTCTAGCCCCTGAGCTCTGTATGAGGTAAGTTCTCAAAAAAATTTGTTGAATCAAACTTTACCAGAACTGCCTAAGTCAATGATGCCACTGTAGGTCTGTAGTTATAAAATGGCCTTGGGCCAGGCACGGTAGCTCATGCCTGTAATCCCAGCACTTGGAGAGGCTGAGACAGGCAGATCACCTAAGGTCAGGAGCTTGAGATCAGCCTGGCCAACATAGTGAAACCCTGTCTCTACTAAAAATACAAAAATTAGCTGGGCATGGTGGCAGATGCCTGTAATCCCAACTACTCAGGAGGCTGAGGCAGGAGAATCGCTTGAAACCAGGAGGTGGAGGTTGGAGTGAATCAAGACGGTGACATTGCACTCCCCTCTGGGTGACAAGAGCAAGACTCCATCTCAAAAAAAAAAATAATTAAATAAATAATAAAATAAATAAAATGGCCTTGATGCCATAAGACCCTAGTTTGCTTTTATAAGAACTTAATTATAATTAACTTGATAATATACAAATAGGCTTCAAATTAAGCTATGAAAGCAGCCTTGACCTTGCATGATATTATTAAAAATTAATGGTTTCAAACAGTGGTAATTGAAAAGAATCTCCCTAATTTCCAAAGCAAACTTAATGTGCAGCATTTTTTAACTAGGTATAAACTAAGAAAAAAATGAATGTGAAATATGAATTCTTAAAAAGTTCCATTTAAAAAGACTTAGAGTTTCTGGAGTGTTACCTAATAAATGGCACCCTCAGGTCATTCATGGAATGAAGAGGTGCATATACTCCTTGTTCATCCCACCATTTGTGAGCCAGGGCCAAGAAGGTTTTTACCTCACCGCTGTCGACAGTGGTTTGGGAAGTACTGTACAGTCTCGCCCAAGGGTACCTAAAAGGTGAAAATGAAGAACCAAGCAAATACTGCTGTTTTGAAGAAATGTTTAACATGGGATATTATGTAGAAAGATAGTCTTATTTACAATTTATTATATTCTAAATCTGTATACTGCTCAATATTGATGCTTTAAAACCAAGTTTTCTTATAATCACACTGCATATAAATACATCTATTCACAGACGAAACAAAATTACTTTTCAAGTAAGTTTCAATTCAAAACAGAACTTTATAAAACTTAGCCTTCTGGGTCATATCTAATAATAATAACAATAACAATACTAATAGCTGGCAGGGTGCAGTGGCTCACATCTGTAATCCCAGCACTTTGGGAGGCCGAAAGGGGCAGATCAAGAGGTCACCAGCCTGACCAACTTAGTGAAACCCTGTCTCTACTAAAAATATAAAAATTAGCTGGGCATGGTAGTGGGTACCTCTAATCCCAGCTACTCAGGAGGCTGAGGCAGGAGAATCGCTTGAATCCGGGAGGTGGAGGTTGCAGTGAGTAGAGATTGAGCCACTGCACTCCAGCCTCGGCGACAGAGTGAGACTCTGTCTCAAAATAAATAAATAAATAATAATAATAGCTACCATTTATTGAGCACTTATTAAATTCCAGGTATTGTTTAAGAGCTCCACATATATTACCTCACTTAATCCTTCCAACAACTCTGCAAGGTGGGTATTATTATTATCCCTATTTTACAGATAAGAAAAGGGAGGCTCAGAGAGATTAAGTAAATTGTAGAGCTGGGATTTGAGCACAGGTGCCTCCATCTTCTCTGCTCCATTTCTACTGCCATAATTCTAACGCAAGCACCCATCATCTCTTGCCTGAACTAGTGTCCTAGCCTTCTAACTGGTAGCTGATTCCTACCTCATCCCTTTCCAATCTGTTCTCCATGATGCATCTAGAGTGATTGTTCCAAAATACAAATTTGATTGTTATTTTCCTGAATAAAATGCTTCCATATCTTCCCAGTGCCATTAGAAAAAAGACCAAAATCCTTAGCATAGTTTACAAAGTTCTGAATTATTTAGTTCCCAGTTTTCTCCCTTTCCAAACTCACTTCCTTCTATTCTCCTCATCCTTCCCACTCCAACCACATGGGTCCTTTTTCAGTTCTTTGGACTGGCCATGCATGCTCTTTCCTCAGGCACTTCAAATAGGTTGTCCCCTCTGCCTGGAACATTCTTCCCACATCCTTCCTTTCCTTTCCCAAACACCTAATTGATTCCTTCTCATCCTTCAGATCTTAGTTTCAATGGAATGTTATCTAAGAATCTTCCCTGATCTGCTGCATGTGGTGGCTGACGTCTGTAATCGCAGCATTTTGGAAGGCTGAGGCAGGTGGATCACCTGAGGTCAGGAGTTCCAGATCAGCCTGGCCAACATGGTGAAACCCAGTCTCTACTAAAAATACAAAAATTAGCCAGGTGTGGTGGCAGGTGCCTATAATCTCAGCTACTTGGGAGGCTGAGGCACGAGAATTGCTTGAAGCAGGGAGGTGGAGGCTACAGTGAGCTGAGATCATGCCACTGCACTCCAGCCTGGGTGAAAGAGCAAGACTCTGTCTCAAAAAAAAAAAAAAAAAGAATCTTCCTTGATCCTCAAAACTGGGTCATGTTCCCCTCATCCCCTGTCCCCCTATTTTAGCTCCTATACCACTTTGTACTTCTTCATGGGGCTATGTGATTATCTGATCGATCATGTCTGTCTTCCACTAGACCACAAGCACTATGAAGGCAAGGCATGGACTGTCTTCCTTACCATTTTATTCTTAGTGACTAGTACAGTTCCTGGAACATGGTGCTCAGGAAGCACTTGGCAAATGAATAATCTGAAGGAAAAAGCCCAGGAAAGTATATAATTTGCCTAAAATTTTATTTAATTAAATGGGATCAAACAGGAGTAAAGAGGGATTAGATAGACACTACACTGACTTCCATGTAGAAGCATATAGTATAGAAAAATCCTTCAAAGGGCTGCTCAGGTAAAACATAGTAAGGATGTTAACTTAGAAAAGGTAATGCCATTCACATTTTTATTAAGTTTGTTTTTAGCCACATAAAGAGAGCATATTCTATATTCATTACTTTTTATTCTTTTAAGATTCAAGTGTCATTCCTCTTTAATATTAATATTATCTTAGGAATATTAGCCCCCTTGTCCATGCTTAATGCAAAGCCTCAGTAATCAAGGACTAATTTACAATAGGTAACAGTAGGTGGTTGCTCATTTGACTAAGAATGATTTCATATAAACCCAAACTCAAAGGGGCTCATTTACAAGGAGGAACAAGCACTTAGAAAACAGAGTTCAAGGCTGGGCGCGGTGGCTCATGCCTGTAATCCCAGCACTTTGGGAGGCTGAGGTGGGTGGATCACCTGAGATCAGGAGTTCAAGACCAGCCTAGCCAACATGGTGAAACCCCTTCTCTACTAAAAATACAAAATTAGCCGGGTGTGGTGGTGCATGCCTGTAATCCCAGCTACTCAGGAGACTGAGGCAGGAGAAGTGCTTGAACCTGGAAGGCGGAAGTTGCAGTGAGCCGAGATCGTGCCTTTGCACTCCAGCCTGGGCAACAAGAGTGAAACTCTTGTCACAAAAAAAAAAAGAAAAAAAGAAAAAAAAATTAGCTGGCTGTGGTGGCGGGCACCTGTAATCCCAATGACTCGGGAGGCTCAGGCAGGAGAATCGCTTGAACCCGGGAGGTGGAGGTTGCAGTGAGCCAAGATCGCACCATTGTACTCCAGCCTGGGCAACAGAAGTGAAACTCCACCTCAAAACAACAACAACAAAAAACAGAGTTCAAGTATTAATGCTGTGCAATATTTTCACAAGGTTAAAAGTTGGCTTATAAAATACAAATACAGAAAGATATTACCTTCAATCAATTTTGCTACCTTAGCCACCTTATCATATTTATGCAGCACCCAAATCACTTATGATTTCTAAAAATTTTAAAATATTGTATTAGGTATTATAAGTAATATTTATGATTTTAAGCACTGCATTGTTTGTGTCTTGTCATAAGGACATTATGAGGAAATAAAAATTCTTCTCTAAGTAATAGCCTTATATTGAAAACAAAAGCTATCTCTGAATCTGAATGAAGGTTGTTTATTGTCTATATACTGTATTATTCTATTACCGTTTCTGTGGGTTTGAAACTCCCCAAATTTAAAAATTGTTAGAAAATAAATTAGTTGAGACTACTTAAATAAACACAAGCTACTTTAATCAAGACACATGGACTATTACATACTGACTGGGTTTATTAAAGATAATACTAAAAACCTATTACATATAATTACGTGAATATTTGCCACAGTAATAATAAACCCACCTGAAACTCTTTATTCTGTTCAAACAGGAAAAGATCGTCCTGTAGGATTTGAACCATATGGTTCTGTATTCATTGAAAACCCCTGGTTTAATCTGTAGAGTCCCACTGAGCTGGTTCTTCACATAAACTGAAAAAAAAAATTAAATATCTAGAGAAAAGCTTTGCACAGTAAGAATCCCTGATATGCATGTAATTGAAGATTCTATTTTATTTTATTATTTATTTTATAGTCTTGCTCTGCCACCCAGGTTGGAGTGTAATGGCACAATCATGGCTCACTGTAGCCTCCACCTCCTGGGCTCAAGCAATCCTCCCGCCTCAGCTTCCCAAGTAGCGGGGACTACAAGCGCAGGCCACCAGGCCCAGCTCATTTTTGTTGTTATTGTTGTTGAGATGGGGTCTCTCTATGTTGCTCAGGCTGGGTCTGAAACTCCTGGGCTCAAGGGATACTCCTGTCTCAACCTTCCAAAGTGCTGGGATTTACTGGGCCTGGACAAAATTTTATTTTATATGGTAATACTGTTACATTACAATTGATAAACAAAGGGTTTTTGTTTGTTTTTTACTTAATTTAAGATTTTACCTAAAAAATAAAATAAAATAAAGGTCTTACATTCTGGTATCTAACTCTAACCCAGACATTTCTAAAATTGTAATTAGCCAAAACAAGTAATGCATCTGTTTATAAAGTTTTTCATGCCATTAGTTTTTACATCTACATTATGTACATAAAATGACAGGAATGATATTCAAATATAAAGTGTTATGTTTTAAACTAGGATAATATTAATTCTGAAATTATTTGTCAAAACTATTTCAAATTCTGTCAATTCCATATTAGCTACATGAAATGAATTTTTGCATATGCTCAATACCCTTTACAGAGGAAAAAAAATGTATGTGTATATATAAAACCTAAAATAAACATTCACCCAGTCTATATGCTCAACTTACACAGGGGCCTGCTTTATGAGCCAGCAGCTGTGTTGCAGAACACTCAGTTGTTCAATAAACATTCAGACAAAGTAGACTTTAGAGCAAAGAAAGTACCAGAAACAAAGAGGGGCATTACATCACAATAAAAGGGATAATCCACCAAGAAGAAAAAGCAATACTAAATGTGTATGCACCAGCAAGGCGCAGTGGCTCACGCTTGTAATCCCAGCACTTTCGGAGGCTGAAGCAAGCAGATCACCTGAGGTCATGAGTTCAAGACCAGCCTGGTGAACATGGTGAAACACTGTCTCCACTAAAAATACAAAAATTAGCCAGGCATGGTGGCATGTGCCTGTAATCCCAGCTACCCAGGAGGCTGAGGCAGGAGAATCACTGGAACCCGGGAGGCAGAGGCTGCAGTGAGCTGAGATCAAGCCACTGTACTCCAGCCTGGGCGACAGAGCAAGACTGTGCCTCAAAAAACATGTGTACATACCAACAACAGAATTTCAAAACACATAAAGACTCACAGAAATGAAATGAGAAATAAACAAATCCACAATTGTAAGTTGGAGACTTCAACACTCTTCTCTCAGTAATTGATAGAACCACTGGATAGAAAACCAGCAGGGATAAAGAAGAACAGAACAAGACCATTATTCAATAAAATCTACTTAAAATGTGTGAAACACTTCCCCCAAACAACAAAATATACATTCTTTCAAGCATGCATGGAACATTCATAAAGATAGACCATATCCTGGGACACAAAACAAATCTTCATAACTTTAAGTGAAATCACACAAACTATAGTTTTGAATGTAATAAGATCAAATAAATAATAGAAAAATAACGGTAAAAAGCAAAACACTTGGAAATTAAACAACACACTTCTAAACAATCCATAAGTCAAAGACAAGTCTCAGGGATATTTTAAAAATTGAAGTAAATGAAAATAAATGTACTACATATAAAAATCAGCAGATATAGCTAAAGGAGCACTGAGAGGTCAATTTATATCACTAAAATAATCATATTGAAAAGGAAGAAAGGGCCAGGAATGGTGGCTCACACCTGTAATCCCAGCACTTTGGGCACTTTGGGAGGCCGAGGCAGGCAGATCACATGAGGTCAGGAGTTCAAGACCAGCCTGGCCAACATGGTAAAACCCTGTCTCTACTAAAAATACAAAAATTAGCTGGGGATGGTGGTACACACCTGTAGTCCCAGCTACCCGGGAGGCTGAGGCAGAAGAATCGCTTGAACCTGGGAGATGGAGGTTGCAGTGAGCCAAGATTGCGCCACTGCACTCCCACCTGGGTAATGGAGGAAGACTCTGTCTCAAAAAAAAAAAAAAAAAGAAAAGAAAAAAGAAAAGAAAAGAAAAAAGAAAAGGAAGAAAGGCCTCGAATCAACAATCTAAGTTTCGACCTCAAGAACTAGAAAAAGGTGAGCAAAATAAACACAAAGCAAGCAAGCAAGCAGAAATCAGAAAATGATAAAAAATAGAAATCAGCCGGGTGAGGGGGCTCACATCTGTAAACCCAGAGCTTCGGGAGGCCAAGGCAAGTGGATCACTTGAGGTCAGGAGTTCGAGACCAGGCTGGTCAACATGATAGAAGCCTATCTCTGCTAAAAATACAAAAATTAGCCAGGCATGGTGGCACATGCCTGTAATTCCAGTAACTCTGGAGGCTGAGGCACAAGAATTGCTTGAACCTGGGAGGCAGAGGTTGCAGTGAGCCGAGATGGCTCCTCTGCACTCCAGCCTGGGTGACAGAGTGAGACTCTGTCTCAAAAAATGAATAAACAAATAAATAAATAAAAATGAAAATCAATGACATTGTAAACAAAACAAAGCCGGAGAAAATACATCAAACCTGAAGTTAATTCACCGCAAAAATCAATAAAATTGATAAGCCTCTAGCAAGGCTGACAAAGAAAAGATGTAAATCACCAATATCAAGAAATAAAGAAAGGATATCACTATAGCTCTGATAGACATTAAAAGGTTGATAAGGGAATACTACACATAACTCTACACTCAGAAATTCTACAATTTAGACAAAATGGACTAATTCCATAAAAACCACAAACTACCAAAATTCATATAGAGAGCCTGAATAACTGATAACTACTAAAGAAATTGGATTCATAGTTAGAAGCCTGAAAAACAAATCTCCAGTCTCGGATGGCTTCGCTGGTGAATTCTACCAAACACTTAAAGAGATAACAACCAATTCTACTTAATCTCTTAAAAAAATAGAAGGGTAAGGAATACTTCCCAGGCCATTTTATGAAGCCAACATTACTCTGATACAAAAATCAAAGAGTACAGCAAAGACTACAGACCAATTCCTCTCAGGAACAGACACAAAAATTCTTAGCAAATATTACCACAATATAATTCAGCAACATACAAATAGAAGAATACAGCACAACCAAGTGAGATTTATTCCAGGTATGCAACACTAGTTCAATGTTAAAAAGCAGTTAATATAATCGACCATATTAACAATAAAAAAGAGAAATACACCAGGCAGGGTGGCTCACACCTGTAGTTCCAGCACTTTGGGAGGCTGAAGAGTCAAGATTGTTTGAGCCCAGGAGTTTGAGACAAGTCTGGGCAACATGGTGAGACCCTATCTCTACAGAAAAACTTAAAAAATTAGCCAGGTATAGTGGTGTGCACCCATGGTCCTTGCTACTAAGGGGATTGAGATGGGAAGACTGTTTGAGCCTGAGAGGTAGAGGCTGCAGTGAGCCATGATTGCACCGCTGCACTCCAGCCTAGGGTACAGAGCAACACTGTCTCAAAAAACAAACAAATGAAAACCAAAAACCAAAACAAAACAAATACCAAACATAATCATGTTGATTGATACAGACAAAGCATTTAACAAAATCCATATCCATTATGATTAAAAACTTTTGGCAAACTAAGAATGAAAGGGAAATTATCTTACAAAACAGCTATAAAAACCTATAGCTCACATAGTACTTTATGATGAAAGACTAAGCCCTTTCCCCCTAAAATCAGAAACAAGGTAAACACATCCATTCTCACTACTGTTATTCAACATTGTACTGAAAGTCTTATTCAGTGCAATGAGGCAAGAAAAGGAAATAAAAGATATATAGAATGTTAAGAAAGAAATTAAACTGTCCCTATTGTCTATGTAGAAAATACCAAGAAATCTTTAAAAAGCTCCTGGAAATAATAAGTGAATTCAGAAAGGTCAAAGATTACAGGCCGCACAGTGGCTCACACCTGTAATCCCAGCACTTTGGGAGGCCGAGGCGGGTGGATCACCCGAGGTTGGGAGTTCGAGACCAGCCTGACCAACATGGAGAAACCCTGTCTCTACTAAAAATACAAAATTAGCCGGGCATAGTGGCACATGCCTGTAATCCCAGCTACTCGGGAGGCTGAGGCAGGAGAATTGCTTGAACCCAGGAGGCGGAGGTTGCGGTGAGCAGAGGTCGCACCATTGCACTCCAGCCTGGGCAACAAAAGCGAAACTCCATCTCCAAAAAAATAAAATAAAATAAAATAAAAAAAGAAAGCTCAAAGATTACAAAGGCAACACAAAAAAGTCAGTCTTGTTTCTATATATTAACAATGAACAAGTGGAAGGCAAAATTCAAAATGTAAAATACTTTATCATTTTAAATCATTTCAAAAAAATTCATTGTTGCATAAATCAAACAAAAACATGTACAGAATCTATATGCTTAAAATTACACAACACTGATGAAAGAAATCAAAGAATAAACGTGAGACATATTGGAAAATTCAACATAGTAAAAAGATCAGTTCTCCCCAAATTGTCCTACACATTTAATACAATTCCTATCAAAATCTCAATAGCCTTTTTTTTTTGATAGACACAGACATGCTGATTTTAAAATTTATATGGAAAGGCAAAATAGGCCTGGCGCGGTGGCTTATGCCTGTAATCCCAGCACTTTGGGAGATTGAGGCAGGTGGATCACTTGAAGTCAGGAGGTTGAGACTAGTCTGGCCAACATGGTGAAACTCCGTCTCTACTAAAAATAAAAAAATTAGCCAGGTGTGGTGGTGGGAACCTGTAATACGAGCTACTCAGGAGGCTGAGGCAGGAGAATTGTTTGAACCCAGGAGGCAGAGGTTGCAGTGAGCCAAGATCGCACCATTACACTCCAGTATGGGTGACAAGAGCGAAACTCCATCTCAAAAACTAAATAAGTAAATAAATAAAACACTAATGTATACACGCACACACACACACACACACACACACACACACACACACACACACCCACATCCTCACTCTCTCCCACAATGAGTGCATGTACAGTTGGCAAAAACCAAATAAGGTCTGTAGTGGAGTCAATTATCATACTAAAGTTGATTTCCTGGCTTCAACAATGTACTATGGATGGTATCACCAAGGAACTGGGTGAATAGTACATGGAAATTCTCTCTGTGTGTTTGGGGTTTTTGTTTTGTTTTGTTTTTGGGGGGAATAGGGTCTCTCACTCTGTCGCCCAAATTGGACTGCAGAGGCATGATCTCAGCTCACTGCAATCTCTGCCTCCCAGTTTCAAGTGATTATCCAGCTCAGCCTCCCAAGTAACTGGGACTACAGGTGCACACGCCACCATGCCCGGCTAACTTTTTGTATTTTTAGTAGAGACAGGCTTTCGCCATGTTGACCCGCCTGATCTCAAACTCCTGACCTCAAGTGATCTGCCCGCCTCAGCCTCCCAAAGTGTTGGGAATACAGACGTGAGCCACCGCACCCAGCCTCTCTGTGCTATTTTTGCCACTTCTTGTGTCTTAAATTATTTCAAAATAAAAAATTTAAAAAATCAAAAAGTACAAAAGGGTACAGTACAAAGTATCTCTCCCAGCCCTGACTGTAGCTATCTAGTTTCTCTCCCTATAAACAACCAATCCTACTAGATTTGTATGTAAGATTCCAGAGGCATTTTATACATATGCAATCATTTTAAAGTATCAGTTTCTCTCATTTTATATAAAATGTAGCACAATACACTCATTCTGAATGTTTCTCTTCACCTACCAACATATCTTGGAAATTATTTCATATTTTTTAAAAGGCTGTGTGATAATTCATTGTATGGCTATATTATTTATTTAAGCAGTTCCCTAATAATGAGCATTTGGGTAATTATCAAAACTATGAGATTAGGGCCGGGTGTGGTGGCTCATGCCTATAATCCCAGCGGTTTGGGAGGCTGAGGTGGGCGGATCACTTGAGGTCAGGAGTTTGAGACCAGGCTGGCCAACATGGCATTAGCCCGTCTCTACTAAAAATACAAAAATTAGCCAGGCGTGGTGGGGTGCGCCTGTAGTCCCAGTTACTTGGGAGGCTGGGGCACAAGAATCACTTGAACCCGGGAGGTGGAGATTGCAGTGGGCAAGATCACGCCACCGCACTCCAGCCTGGGCGAAAGAGTGAGACTCCGTCTCAAAACGACAACAACTAGAGATTAAATTACATAGGTTATTTCATTTCATATGTGTTTCAGAGTCCCTGTAGGTAAAATCTCAAGAATGATGTCAAAGGGTACGTGCATTTGTAAATCTGTAATTGCCACTAAATAGATGTTGAACCAATTTACTATCCTATCGGTAATCTATGAGAGTGTCTCTTGTTGGTTTTCCCACACTGTCACCCATACAATGTTAAACTTTTTTTTTTTTTTTTTGAGACGGAGTCTTGCTCTGTCGCCCAGGCTGGAGTGCAGTGGCGAGATCTCAGCTCACTACAAGTTCTGCCTCCCGGGTTCACGCCATTCTCCTGCCTCAGCCTCCCGAGTAGCTGGGACTACAGGTGCCCGCCACCACGCCTGGCTAATTTTTTGGATTTTTAGTAGAGACGGGTTTCACCGTGTTAGCCAGGATGGTCTTGATCTCCTGACCTCATGATCCACCCGCCTCGGCCTCCCAAAGTGCTGGGACTACAGGCGTGAGCCACGCGCCCAGTCTTTGTTAAACATTTTTATGTTTGCTAATCAAATACATGAAAATGGTATCTTAGTGTAGTTTTAATTGTTTGTTTTTGTTTTTGAGACAGGGTCTCACTGTGTCACCCGGGCTGGACTGCAGTGGAACAATCTCCACTCACTACAACCTCCACCAAGGTCACCCAAGCGATCCTCCCACCTCAGCCCCTCGAGTAGCTGGCACTATAAACATGGGCCCCGTGCCCAGTTAATGTAGTTTCAATTTATCATGAATGAGGTTAAGCATCCTTTCTTATGTTTAGTGGTCATTTATATTTCACATCTTGTCTTTTTGTAGTCTCTGCATACTTTTCTCCTGAGCTTATGTTTATTTGGTTTTATTTTTTAATCAGCCCTTCACAGTCCATCCCAAACCCATTACAATGTTCTTTTTTAATAAAGTTCATGTGTCTAGGCTTTTGCTCATTTTATTTATTTATTTATTTATTTATTTATTTATTTATTTATGAGACAGGGTCTCGTTGTGTTGCCCAGGCTGGAGTGCAGTGGTGGGTTCACGGCTCACTGTAGCCTCTACCTCCTGGGCTCAAGTAATCCTCCTACCTTAGCCTATCCAGTAGCGAGGTCCACAGAAGCACACCACCATGCCTGGCTAAATTTTGTATTTTTTTTTTTGTAGAGACAGGGTTTTGCTATGTTGCCCAGGCTGGTTTCAAACTCCTGAGCTCAAGCGATCCACCTGCCTCGACCTCCCAAAGTGCCGGGATTAAAGGTGCTCGGCCAGGCTTTTGTTCATTTTATTTCCCTTTCCACCAACTCTATCTGGACTACCTTTTAAGACCCAGTTCAAATATCACCTCCTGTATGACTTTAGGTAGATACATGAGATATTATTAAAGAATAAAGTTTAACTATGTAAACCATGATACATCGATAACGACATATAAGGTATTACTATTATGAAACTAAGCCTTAGAAATTTTAACAATATCTGCTTTTACGGACAGACAACCCTTGATCTCTCTCTTACCTCCTCTATTTCTGGAAAATGAATCCCTAAGTCATCAGTATTGCTACAATTCTCAAGAGGTTTAAAAATCATCTTAGGCCAGACGCAGTGGCTCAATGCCTGTAATCCCATCACTTTGGGAGACCAAGGTGGGCGGCCTGCTTGAGCCCAGGAGTTCAAGACCAGCCTGGACAATGTGGTGAAACCCCTTCTCTACTAAAAATATAAAAATTAGCCATGCATTGTGGTGCCTGCCTGTAGTCCCAGCTACTTGGGAGGCTGAGGTGGGAGGACCAATTGAGCCAGGGAGGCCAAGGCTGCCGTGAACTGTGGTCATGCCACTGCACTCTAACCTGGGATACAGAGCAAGACCTTTTCTCAAAAAAAAAAATTAATTAATCTAAAAAGTAAAAATAAAAACCACTCTACCACCTTACCACAACGGAAAGAGAGTAATTGAGTTTGTATTTAAACAGAATGCTACCAATTCCTTCTCTACCTTGAATCTGTGATCATCCTGGTATTTGAAATTTTAAAGGAATGGGAAAAGGTTTTTTTCATTTTATTTATTGAAAAGTCATTTATTCAGCACCTACCAGGCACCATGCTGATGGTGAATAAAACAGGTGACAGACTTTTACCCTACCAATACTTTATTTCCAGCAATGATAATTTACTGTCTGGATTGCTCTAAGGTCTTCCTGGGCCTAGACTTGCCTGACTCCATCCCACATTCTATGTAGACAGCTGCCAAGTGTTATTTCTTAAACATAAATCTGTTCATGTTGCTTCTTCAGTGATTTCCACTGTCCGCGGGATAGTCTACCTCAGGAGGTGTAAATGGCCTTTCATGAATGTGTCATGGCCAAAAAGGCCTCTTCCTCATCCCTTGCCACCCCCTGCCTTTACCTTCTGCCCTCCACCTACACACTTTACTTTTCAAGGAACCTTGCAGTTTCTCACAAACTTTCTCACAGATTCTCGAGCTGGTCCTTTCCCCTCTCCAACTGCTTTTTTTTTTTTTTGAGACAGAGTCTCACTCTGTTGCTCAGGCTGGAGTGCAATGGTGTGATCTTGGCTTACTGCAACCTCTGCCTCCCAGGTTCAAGCGATTCTCCTGCCTCAGCCTCCCGAGTAGCTGGGATTACAGGCGCCTGCCGCCACGCCCAGCTAATTTTGTATTTTTAGTAGATAGGGTTTCACCATGTTGGCCAGGCTGGTCTCGAACACTTGACCTCAAGTGAGCTGCCTGTCTCGACCAACTGCTTCTAAAACTGGCCACCTCCTTCAAGATTTCTCTAAATATCCCATTCAAGAAGTTTCCTTGATCCCAAATATGGATTAAATGCTCCTTCTATGTTCACCCCTCAAAAATTGGAACTAGGTTTATTATATCTTTTCTAAATTTTTGATTATAAAAGACACATGTTTACTAAAAAAAGTTCAGAAAAAGAAAAGTATATAAAGGATAAAATGATAGAAAATCACCTACTCTACCACAGGCAATCACTGCAAAATTTCTCTATATATCTCCACCTGTAACTCCAAGTTCACTATACATACTGATTTGTAACTTTTTTTTTTTTTTGGCTCCTTCCAGGAAACAATGAAACTTTACTTTCTTAACACTATATCTTACTACTTTTCCATGTGGGTACAAATAGATTTAAATCATTTTTATTGGCTGTACTATTTTTCACTGTATGATAGTACCAACTAATAACCTTTATTAATGGGCGGTTAGATTCCCCATTTTTTTGTTCATTATATCCTGATCTTAGGTTTATCCTAACATTTTTAAAGAGATCCTTGCGGTGTCATTCATTTTTAAATTCCCAGTGCTCATACCAGTGTCTGGCATACAGTATTTGTTAAGAGTTCCATGTGAAAGATGAGCTTAAGTTTCTACTTAATACTGAGAGTTCGAAAATCAGACTGCTGTCTACAAGCACTGAGCAGTGCATTATTTTCTTGATCTCATTTGCAAATGCAGTCTGTTGGATTAACCTATTAATCAAAAAGTAATACAGCTGCCTTAAATTCTTTCTGAAAAAAACAGCAAGCTTTGTGCAAACAAAACACAGATACAAAGCTATGCATAACTACGAGGCGTGAGTTATTCCTGCCCCGGCAAAGGAAAGATGCATGACCTTCAGACTGCAGCACACGCAGAGCGGGTCGCCGGCTCCTGGGGCAAGGAGCTCAGCCACAAGAGACCCGCGGCCTGCGCTTTTCCAGACAGGACCACTGGTCCTGAGCTCTTTTCCCCGGCGTCCGCCAACGGGACTATGCGAGGTTTACAATGGAGAGAGATGGGGCCAGGACCAAGCCTTAGGTTTCGCGCTGACCCCTCGCGAGGTCCAGAGACAACCCACCGCCCCACCCCCGGCGCATGCGCAGAGACGCCAGCGCTCGCAATTGACTGCATGCGAAGGACCTCCGCACACACACTCACCCGCCGAGGAAATTAAGGGACGCGCAGCTTTTGTATTACAGCCTCCAGGCCCCAGCACTCTTAAAAACCAACCCCCGGAGGAGCCCAGCTTACGGCCACTCCACATCGCGACAAACGATCCCACCTCTTTTCCGGTCCCTCCCGAAAAAAGATCCCCAACATAAAGGTTCCGAGATCACTTTCGCCGTCTGCAGCCGACTTTTTTTTTTTTTTTTTTTTTTAGCAGAGTCTGTTCTGTTGCCCAGGCTGGAGTACAGTCCCCATCTCGGATTCTGGGATCACTGCAATCTCCGCCGCCCGGGTTCAAGCGATTCTCCATGTTGGCTGGTCTCGAACTCCTGACCTCAGGTTATCCGCCCGCCTTGGCCTCCCAAAGGGCTGGGATTACAGGCGTGAGCCACCGCGCCCGGCCTGCAGCCGACTTTCATGATTGTATTGTTGAGTGTTATGTATGTATGGCTATACTTTCACGCTCATTTAGCAAATTGCACATGGAATTAAACTGCAAGATGTTTTTACTATCATAAACAACTTTGAAGATACTTTATTGCTATAGGACACCTCAAACCTCATGTTCGAAGTTGACCTCAATCAGGCCATTACTTCGTGCTGTGTCTTCTTTTATTGCCATGTAGCTCTATTTCACACTTAACAGATGTCTCTTCAAGGACTTTTATATTCCTGTAAGACATTGACCCTACTGCTAAGAATGCAAGAGTATGGGAGCACTTCTTCCTCAAGGGAAGAATTGTTTCCCCTTTCAAGGCACTCAAATATCAGATGGCCAGAAGGCCAAATGTAAAACTTATTTTCTGCAAATGACTATTATCTTGTACAGGGTATATACATCATGTAGTAGGAGGCTTCTGTGGCTCAGTCTAGGCAAACTTCATTTAGAGCTAGGAACAGTGATCAGTAACATTTTACGTCTAAATGCACAAAGTCTTTCTTTGGGTAAGAACAATGACGAATCTCCAACATTGAAGACAAAAAATTATTCTGTATTTTCAACAGGTAGGGTCAAATTGGTAAAGGGTTCTTTCAGTTAGCGAAATTTACCGCTCAGGAATCTTTTTTTTTCTTTTTTTTTTGAGACAGCCTCACTCGGTTGCTCAGGCTGGAGTGCAGTGGTAGGATCTCAGCTCATTGCAACCTCCGTCCCCCAGGCTCGGGTGATTCTTCGTGCCTCAGCCTCGTAAGTAGCTGGGATTACAGGTGTATGCTGCCATTCCCGGCTTAATTTTTGTATTTTCAGTCAGGGTTTCACCATGTTGGCCAGGCTGGTCTCAAGCTCCTGACCTCAGGTGATCTGCCTGCCTCAGCCTCCCAAAGTGCTGGGATTACAGGTGGGAGCCACCTCACCCAGACAGCAATAGTCTTTCATTCATGGTTCTTAGCTAAAATATTGACCTCCTCCTAAGGGTGGTCGCACTTTTCAGTTGCTATGTCCTCTTCAGAGCTCCTCTACCCTTAGATACATGATCCTCTCTCCACATGAAGGCAGAAAGCTCTGCACAAAAGAAAATGTAGCACGTCTTGTATTTATTGGAGTGACACATCCAAGGAAAAAGCAAAGTGCAAGCACAATTAAATAAAGTTCTAGGAGCTTTATATGTACTTTCTTTGAAGGTACCACACTTCACTGGGCTTCAGAGCCTTTCCACTACATTTTAACAAGAAGGGGAATCAATGATTTGCTTTATGCTGACAAGTATGTCTTTTGAACACCCAGAACAGGTCTGGCCCAAATAAGCAAAACTAGCTCATAGTATTTCTCGCTACAAACATCAACAAAGGGCTTTCCCAATGACCCTTAAGCCTAAGTGGTATTGGAAAGTTGTAATGGCTGTAATGCAGTATATGGCCATTGTTGGAGATATTTCCCCAGACTATTATTGTTATGGTCTCACCCGTAAGTCTGCGTATTTATTTTGCTCTAAAACTCTTAATGTCTGTTTTGTAATTCAACTTTATAAACATTTTTTTTTTCATCCAAGGGTAAAGTGCTCCCTTGTAGCTTTGAAATGATATACAGCTGGGCGTGGAGGCTGACACCTGTAATCCCAGCACCTTGGGAGGCTGAGGTGGGCGGATCACCTGAGGTCAGGAGTTCAAGACCAGCCTGGCCAACATGGTGAAACCCCATCTCTACTACAAAAAGTACAAAAACTAGCTGAGAGTGGTGATGGAATCCTGTAATCCCAGCTACTTGGGAGGTTGAGGCAGGAGAATCGCTTGAACAAGAGAGGTGGAGGTTGCAGTAAGCTGAGATCACGCCATTGCACTCTAGCCTGGGCAACAGAGCAAGACTGTGTCTCAAAAAAAAAAAAAAAAAAGAGATATACCACTACATCCACTCAGTTTAACTGGTAAGTTTTCACATTTACTTAAAAATTTTACATAAATTGGTAACTCAGAATAATTCTATCATAACTTCTACCAAAATCAGAATGTGGCAGATTTAACCAAGGTATCTTTAAAGGAACTCTATAGGTATCTGATAAACCTTTATGATATAAATATAACCCATGTGTGCTTTTTGAAGAGCTAAAGCCCATTTTCTCTTTTAAATTTTACACAACAAAATTCCACTTAAAACTGAAAAACTTAACAGCTAGATGTGTTTAGAACTAATCTAATTTGGCCAGGTGCGGTGGCATACACTTGCAATCCCAGCATGTTGGGAGGCCGAGGCAGGCGGATCACGAGGTCAAGACCATCCTGGCCAACATGAAACCCTGTCTCTATTAAAAATACGAAAATTAGCTGGGCATGTTGGCGCACACCTGTAGTCCCAGCTACTTGGGTGGCTGAGGCAGGAGAGTTGTCTGAACCTGGGAGGCGGAGGTTGCAGAGCCAAGATCATACCACTGCACTCCAGCCTGGTGACAGAGCGAGACTCCATCTCAAAAAAAAAAAAAAAAAAAATTCATCTAATTCCTCCCTTACACAGCTGAAGAAGTTAAGGCCCATGGTGATTTAGTGATTTGCCTAAAACACATCAAGAAACAGAGCCAGCTCAATCCAATGACTCTACTACTACTTCCATTTATGCAATCGGCTGGGAGCGGTGGCTCACGCCTGTAATCCCAGTACTTTGGGGGGCCAAGGCGGGTGGATCGCCTGAGGTCAGGAGTTCGAGACCAGCTGGCCAACATGGTGAAACCGTTTCTACTAAAAACACAAAAATTAGCCAGATGTGGTGGTGGGTGCTGTAATCCCAGCTACTCAGGAGGCTGAGGCAAGAGAATCACTTGAACCCAGGAGGCAGAGTTTGCAGTGAGCTGAGACTGCGCCACTACACTCCAGGCTGGGCAACAGAGAAAGACTCCATCTCAAAAAGCAAGAAACAGCAACTATGCAGTTGCTTAACTTGGGGACATGTGAGAAATGTGTCATTAGGTGATTTCATTGTGATGTGAACATCACAGAGTATACTTACATAAACCTAGATGGTATAGACTACTACACACCCAGGCTACATGGTATAGCCTTTTGCTCCTAGGCTACAAATACTATATTGAAAACTGTAGGCAACTGTAATATCATGGTTTTGTGTATTTAAACACAGAAAAGGTACAGTAAAAATACATTATAATCTTATGGGACCACTGTTGTACATGTGGCCCGTCATTGACTGAAACGTCGTTATGTGGTGTATGTCTGTACTCAGTACATTTTAGAAACTTCAGTAAATCAAAATACATTTAAATTTATGTAGGAGAAGAAAAACTCAGTTTAGATGTAAAGATTTCTGTAAGGCAACACTACAGAGACTGGAAACCTAATACAACTCCTATGTAAAAATTCCCAAATACAGTAAAAAATTCTTTACTATTACCTTTCATGTGTTTAAGGAAACAAAAAACTCAGGACACTTAAAAATAGACTGCGAAATTTACCTACTTGGTATTACACCACTAGAAACAGATGCTAAAAAGGTAATTTTATAGTGGCAGAAAACATATACACTAACGAGATTCCACACCAATTTTTATTTATATTTTGGGGCCTGAAACAAATCTTATAATCACCTCTTTCAAATTACATTTTATTCCCTTAATGGTGTGGTTTACCCCCACTCCACAAAAACAATTATGACTAATACACTAGAAATATTTTTTAATAGAACCTCTTAAACAAGACATTTTCATTAACCAATCCAGACCAAGGATTGTCTCAAAAATTTGATCTGTTAATTTTCTGGTGGTATTATTTTAGAAAAGATTTCATAACCAAATTATACATCTAATTAACTTATGTGTAAGTTTTTGCATTCACATCCTAAATCATGGAAACCCTACCTTATAAAACCTTACCACTCAAGGTAAATAAATACTATATCACATGTCAAGAAAATAAAGAATTCTCTAAATCTGCCACTAAAAGTCTGAAAAACCCAAATATCAAATTATAACACTGGTTTATGTACTAATAATCACAAATATCATGACGGCTTTTAAAAAAACTACAGACTTAACTGATAAGCTTGCAAATTACGGCAGAGTAAATAAAACTGTCAAATACTACTTTTGGCTCTAGTTCATAACTTGCCCAAAAATGTGCATATCATAGCCAACAGAATTTTTCTGTAGAATTTTATTTTGAAAATATTTCACTTCAAGATTGATCTAAAAAACATTTTAAGATATGAAAATGTTATACAACTTATCTATTACAAATTAATCAGATAATTCTGCAATTAGGTACACTGTGTTAGCTCGCCTACATAAAAAATATTGCACATTTTATTTTGTCTCCAGATGTGATCGATGTCTAAACTATATAGAATTTCAAACTATTTTAAAGTTATTCTGTGAAATGTCATCTTTATAAATATCAGAACTAAATGCACTGTAAACAGCCATTTTGGTAAACATGCATTTATTCACAGTTGATTTATTTCCTTTAGATAAATGTGTAACTGCTCAAAATTATATAATAATCTATGTAGAGGTACAAGAGCACACTATACAAATCTATTTCTATCTTCATGTTGAGGAAACACTGATCTTGGCAAAAATCTGGCATGATTTTTAAAATGAACTATTGCTGGTAAGAAGGCATACTTTAAAACTTTTCTGTGGCCTGCACCTGTTTTCTTTTTAAATTAAAATGTAAAAGCATTTGTTTTCAGAGATTCATTTATCACTGAGTAAGTGATTACATAAAAAAATGGACCCTAAAGCAACTGAGTTAAAATGCTTTGAGAGCCCCATTCTACTTGTAAGTTATCAATGCCTTAAACTGTTAGACCACTCACTAATCATAATTTTAAGAAACGGACAAAATCAGACAATTTTAATGTCAGGAAATTGACACAAACCTGCATAATACAGCATTCCTCCATTGATTTGAGGTCATATTATACTTTAAAAATATAAATAAATATATTGAATCATGAGTCTTATTTCTATAACCCCAAAAAGTGTTTCAAAATGCTTCTAAAACAGAAGTGGGTGACTGTAGAATATAGTTCCAGACTTGACTATTACTGTCAAACACAATCGTTCCTTACAAATAACTCTACTGGTGCACTGGCTTGATTGATTCCAGCAATTTCATTTTACAGGAGTGAACCACACGTTATACACACAGAGAATATATTACTTGAAAATCCCCAAAATAGGAAGAAAAGTTTAGAAAGTTGTCAAATACTTCCAAATGAAAAGTAAAGGTCTATTTCTAGCCCTCTTTCATACCCTTAAAGTTGGAATCTGGCAAAAGTCCATGGGTACAATTTACAAACTTTGACAAACTATTAAGTAAAAACCATTTTCTTTGGGGGAGGTGAGAGAAGGTACCTTTAAAACCTGTTATACAAAATTCCAGCTGCCTTTTTATAAAAGTACGTTCCTTAGATTAAAACCATAAAATTAAGGTGCAAGAGTTTAACAAAAATGAACTAAAGAGCTTTATTGACATCACAGTACATTCAAGAATAATTTTAAGAACATTACAGCTGAAAGAGAATGGCATGTTTATAGTCTTATTATGCACTATATTTTTTGAAAAAAACGTAATACAAAGAAATCCTATTAAGTAACTTGGAGCAGCATTGGAAAAAGTACACCTATTTACAGATTAAAAAAAAAAAAGATTCTGGTTTCACCTACACAGCCACAATGTGCCTCTATAATGAGACAAGCCCTTAAAACTCATGGAATTTTTTTAAAGAACATCATGGCATTCTTGCCACATCATTCCTCAGCGTTTACGACGGGGAGGGGTTGTTGATCTGAAAAAAAAGGGAAAAGACAAAATTTAAAAATAAAAATGTATTTTAAATTAAAAATCTGCAATTTTAAATAAATAATATTATATAGGATTTCTAACATTTAAGACTATGATTATTTATCAAGTACCAAACTGAGTTTATTAAAGAGAGAGAGAAAGGACACTTTCAACTTTGAATAAATTCAGTCAATTTTTTTTAAAAATCAGACAAAATACTTTAAAAAGTATACTACCTTGATCGGGACTTAGACTTGTGTTTGCGGCTTGCCTTCTTACCAGACCTTTGAGATTTCTCCACGGATCGCGATCGACTATGTTTAGGCTTCTTAGCCTTCTTTTCTTTGCTACTTCCTGGAGACTCAGAACTGCTCCTTCCACTAGAATCAGAGCCTGAATGTTTTTTACTATCTTTGGTAGTACTTTTCTTACTATCCTGTCTAGAATCATGTCTTATGATTTTAACAGATATAGAACCACTCCTAGAAAATGTTCTTTCACTTTCTCGTTTCCTTTTTAATCTATCATCCTGACTACTGAACTTAAAATCTTTTTCTTCCCTTTTTTGTTTCTCTTTTCTTTTATCCTGTTCACGTTCCCTTTCTTTGTCTTTCTTTTTCCTATCTTTATCTATACTTCGACTCCTCTCCTTTTTCCTCTCTTGTTCTTTAGCCTCACCTTTATGCTTATGACTGTTCCCACTAAGATTTCCACGTTGATCATCAATTTTACGCCTATCTCGACTCCTACTGCGACTGGCACGATTGGTTCGTCTATCCCTTGAGCGACTTCTACTTCTACGTCTCTCTCGGGAAGGACTCCGATTTCGTCGTCTTTCTCTTTCAATGCTATTTCTATTAGATCTCCTTCTATCTCTAATCTTTACCCTAGCCCTATTGCTCTCTATTTTAATTCTGCGAGAATAGCTTCTACTCCTGCTACGTCTAGCTTTGATTGTTGGAGATCTACTCCTACTGTGTCTCTTTTTCCTTTTAGGAGAAGAAGACCGAGAAGAAGTACGACTACTACCTGAGCTAGAACTGTATGAAGAGCTAGAGACAGTACTACTAGTACTACTAGTTCTGCTATTGCTACTGGAACTACCACTACTAGAACTTCCCGACCTACTCCTTCCTTGTTTTTCTTTTTCTTTATGCTCTTTTTTTGGTTCTAAAACTGATGTGGTTTCATTTGGAGTTCTCTTCTTTTCATTAACCACATCACCGTCTGCTTCTCTTGCTTCTAGTAGTGATAAACTATTTTGCTCTTTATGGATAAATTCATTCATCTCTTTTGTAACCCTTTCTGTTTGCTGCTTTTCTTCTGAAACAGAAAAAGACAAAAACACTAAGAAAATGTTCATGTAAAATTCTCATACTACCAAATGTCAAGCTACCAGACTGTAACAATAGAACACCATTTTCAATAGAATTACGATGCAAGCCATGTAAGTAATTCAAAATTTTTTAGTAACCACATTAAAAAAGTAAAAAGAAACAGGTAAAATAACCCAATATACCAAAAATATTATCATTTCAACACATAATAAATTTAAAAAAATTCTGTTCTCTTTTTCAAGTAAAGTTTTTGAAATCTAGCATGTAATTTATACCCACAGCACATGCCTAGCCACATTTCAAGTTCTCTATAGCTTGTAGTTAGTTACGTTACCCTCCTGGACAGTGTAGCAAAATACAGTATCAAGATGTAGAGGTGGGTGTGAGGCAAGTAGGAAAAGACTTCCCTTTTGTCCAACTAAAGCAAAATTTTAAAGGTAAGTAAGTGGTTTATAGAGAAGTCTTAGCTGCTAACTCTTAATTACCTTAGATTTTTCAAAGAAGAAATTCTAAGTAAATTTTCTCTTTTGTTATTCCTAGTATTAGGTAAAGTATCTTAAGTAAAAAACTTCTAGGTTCTCTATTATCCTTATATATCCTAGCTACAAATTACTTTTCAATAGTCTTACAAATATATTTTTCCCATTTCAAAAGTCATCTTTTTCATTTCAAGACTTTTAGCAAGAAATAAAAATACCCTAAATAGCTTGGCTTATAGCCACTGCAATAAATGGCTCCTAAAACAACCAAACAAAAATTGTGACTTTAGTTTCAGTTATATCACATATTATTTATAATATAGCCTTTATTTTATCCTTTGATATTTTTAGGTTAGTTAAAAAATAAAAAGAAATACAAAACTGGACCAAAATTAAGTCTAAAAGGTATACTACACCTTCCATCTGTTTATCATGTAATAGCTGCTGTTCTTTTTCTTTTCTCCAAAAAGCTTCCTGTTTTTGCCGGATTCGATGCCGTAATTCTTCATCATCAGTGTCAGATGACTCAGATCCTCTGTCACTCCTCTCATCTTCACTGTCTCCTGATCCATAACCACCCAGTCCACCTGTGTGCATAAAGCTCAGTCTATCATATGAAAAAAATTATACTATGCACTAAAAACTTTTCAAGGTCTGAGAAGAAAGTTCATTTCTTTTTTCATTGCCTTTTCCCAGAAGAATACGCTTATTCGGGGTGGGGAGAAGTATACATTCAAACGCTTAAGGAGTTCACAGAACCTTCAGGCAAAGGTTACTTAATATCTTATTCTTTCTGGACTATTTCATATTTTTCTCACTGTAAAGGAATGATAATGGGTTTGCTGTACTGTCCATACTAACCAACAAAACTACTTAACAGGGCAGTAACAAAGCCACGCTAAAGCTTAATGATGACCCTGAAAGTATTTCTAAAATTAACTTTTATTGTTCAAAGTTTAGAAATCCCTAGAGCTAAGCAATTTTTCCCTAAAAAAATTAGAATACTATAATCTCCCTGGTACAGAAATATTATGGTGCTGAAAATACTCCCCACCCTGAAATGATCTAAATAACCATAACAAAACCACATGGGCATTTGGTTCTACCCACTTCTCTGGGTCCTCACAAAAATTAATTTGAAATGAAGATGTGGAAAAGGCAAATTCAAGCTTTTACAGCCTTGATAATATACCATGCAAATAGTAAATTATGAACACATCACTACTATTTTACTATGATAAGATAAACCCTTTCCTCTATATTAAAACTTGACTTGCCGCAACACAATCTATGTAAGTTATTAAAAGCATTAGTGGATAGGTTCTTCCCTAAGGCATGTATGCAATAATTCTGAAAGTGAGCTTAGATACTATCATGGCTAAATTATGAATTATTAAGTACAAACTATAGGTGTTCATATATAATTATATATATATAAAATGCATATATTGGAGCAATAAGGAAATCTTCCAATATAACCTGCCCCAATAAACTATGAATTAACCATCACATTTATAAATTTCTCACTGTGAATGCGTTAGTCAAAAAAATAGGCAAACCTTTTTAGACAGGATGACATAACCCTAAGACCTAGGTTTTTATAAACTGAGTAGGACTAATACAGTTTCAAAATAGAACACGCAGAGAGACAATGTATGTGTGATTTTTCCCTTTAGGCCCTCTCACAAATATGGAAAACACTTACCGAGTCCAGTGAGGGAAGCCAGTGCACTGGACTGTGCCAGCTGTTTTGCAGGAGCTTTGTATCACATCAACAACAGGAACAACATGTTAACACAAATAGCCACGATTTCATAGTCATGAGTCTATGGTATTGTTAAATCTACTACTATTGCTGCTTTTTGGGGAGAGAAGAAACATTAAAAACATAACATTCATTTTAAACCAGTATCATGTCTGGCTTTGAAATTATAACTCTGATGTGAGCTGAAATTGGTTTATAATGAGAAAAAATGTTGACAGGTATATCTGTATGTCTACTTCTGAGATTATGACATGTAACTTAATTTTTGTTTTCAATACATTTTTAAGGTGTTACTAAAAATCTAGGGGTAGGAAATCACTTGCTTCTGTAAGAGATAAGTGGTAAACTAAAAATTGTAGGTAGATAATTCAAAATTCATTAGTCAAAATAAACTGTATCAGAAGTCACACAACAATGCCATGTTATCTATTAAAAAAAATCAGGTGAAATAAACTGAACACCTGGAATTTTCCACAATACATTTTAGAGGAAAACAGCATGATTGCTAATTTGTACTCATGTAGGTCAGATAAAACAAAAATATTTGTATAGCTTTAATATGGTGTCTACGAATCTAATCTTTAAGAGTTAAAACATGCAAGAGAATATTCAAATATCTGGTAGAAATCCAACAAGGACAACAAAAAAAGGCCAAAATAGTCATCAGAACCAAAATACCCCAGGAAAAGCAAAACCAGAAACACCAAAATATACCTTTCGTTGCTTTGCGGTGTGCATCTTTGGCTACGTAATAAATTTCTTCATCTGTGACATCCAGCAGAATTTCTGTTAGAAGCATTTTTGTCAGCAACATCTAAAAAAGAGCATTTTATACAGTATTTCTAATTATTATAGCTACTAATAGTGTGACATCTTCAAAAATATTAAAATGCAAAGCCATTTTTTTTTTCAGACAGTCTCACTCTGTTGCCCAGGCTGGATCATACTGGCGTGATATTGGCTCACTGCAACCCCTACCTCCTGGGTTCAAGTGATTCTCTTGCCTCAGTCTCCCAAGTGGCTGGAACTACAGGCGTGCACCACCACACCCAGCTAATTTTTGTATTTTCAGTAGAGATGGGGTTTCACCATGTTGGCCAGGCTTGTCTTAAACTCCTGATCTCAAGTGATCTGCCTGCCTTGGCCTCCCAAAGCACTGGGATTACAGGCGTGAGCCACCGTGCCCAGCCACAAAACCATTTTATAAAATATTTTTAGACATCAGAGCAGCCATTTCAAGGAATAAAGTATCTTGAACATTTTTCTGTAACATCAAAACTTCAACAAAATTCCAGGCTGGGTGCAGTGGCTCACACCTGTAATCCCAGCACTTTGGGAGGCCGAGGTGGGCGGATCACCTGAGGTCAGGTGTTCGACACCAGCCTGAACAACATGGCGAAACCTTGTCTCTACTGAAAAAATACAAAAATTAGCCAGGCATGGTGGTGGGCACCTGCAATCCCAACTACTCGGGAGGCAGAGGCAGGAGAACTGCTTGAACTCAGGAGGCAGAGGTTGCAGTGAGCCAAGATCCTGCCATTGCACTCCAGCCTGGGCAACAGAGCGAGACTCCATCTCCATAAATAAATAAATAAATATTCCGAAATCATACGGATCAAAGAAAAAAATATTATAAATGTATCTGTATAGTAGACACACTGAATTCAAAACACTTTTTTCTTTCTTTTTTTTCCGAGACAGGGTCTCACTCTGTCACCCAGGATGGAACGCAGTGGCACCACCTCGGCTCACTGCAACCTCTGCTTCCCAGGCTCAAACAATCCTCCCACCACAACTTCCTGAGTTGCTGGGACTGCAGGTGCACCTCACTATGCCCGGCTAATTTTTTGTAGAGACAAGGTCTCACTGCAGTGCCCAGGTTGGTCTTGAACTCCTGGACTCAAGCAATCCTCCTGCCTTGGTCCCCTGAAGTACTAGGATTACCCCAGCCTGAAATCAAAACATTTAAAAAAGTCCCTATTAATAAAGGTTTCTATAATTGTTTTAAGTTAAAAGGAGTATCTCTTCAATTAATAATACTGGTCAGCAGTTCTAGTTTCTGTTTTTTCCTCTAATATTGTCTCCAAAAAAAATTGCAAACGAAATAAATCCATGTACATAGTAAGAACTTTAACATTCTACCATTTGATACTCTTTCTCCTCTTCAGTCATCTCAGGGTCACTGTGCTCTTCTTGAGGAACTGGGGATGGACTTCTGGTGACTTTCC
The DNA here is from genome assembly GCF_000001405.40 of Homo sapiens. Taxonomy (NCBI): domain Eukaryota; kingdom Metazoa; phylum Chordata; class Mammalia; order Primates; family Hominidae; genus Homo; species Homo sapiens. Next base: position 99,406,117 of record NC_000006.12, read on the forward strand.
CACTACTTGCAGCCTCAACATTTTCAGTGTCTTCTTCTTCCTCATCACTATCCTATAAAAAACAATAGTATGGTAGTCCAAATTCATGTGTATAATGTAAAATCCTTATCTTACATACAGAAAATCTTAAACCCCAAATTAAAAAGTCTATGAAACAGAAATATGAGTGAAACTGCTATCTAAATTACATTTACTACAGATTTCATTTGATAATTTAAAAAGTATAACCTGGGAAAAATGTAAGATTACAAGAAGGCTTAGGAAAATAAATTGTTTTTTCAATTTTACTTTTCCCTTAGTCAATTTTAACCTTATTTTATAAATACCCAGAAAAACATAATGCCCAGAGACTGATTTAATTACTATCTATTACATATAATGGGCCTGAAATGAGACACTTATAGAACTTTGGATAAATGGACCATAGACATATTATTCAGTATAACTTTTACAGCTATATATTTAAGCTATTTACCTAAAGTTGCACGACTTAAAATGAAAAATCTCTAATCAGATTTTTCAGGGCCAAGATCTCAGCTGGCCCTGAAACTCAGTAAAACATGCTTCTTTTTAGCTCATAATAAAAAGATAAAAATGAGGTCTACTTCAGATTAAACAAATGCCAGCAGTTTGTCTCCTGTCTTTGTATGGTTTTAGGTTTCAGGATCCAGATTGCATGTGACCCTTTCCTTTGTCAGAGAAGTGTCCCCTAGTCACTTTTAATAATCCCACTAAGTAAAAGACAAGATGACCACCTAAATACTACTGTGGAAAGACTACCTGAACCAGGGGAAAAATATATGTAACACAATCCCACAGGCATTTGGGAGAAAAGAGGAAGGAAAATTTCCAAACAATTTTTGATGCTTAAAAAAAATTTGGAACACCACTATTTCATGTAAAGATTTTTTTTTAAAAAAAGACTGGACAGAGTGGCTAATGTCTGTAATCCCAGCACTTTGGGGGGCCGAGGTGGGAGAATCATTTGAAGCCAGGAGTTCAAGACCAGCCTGGGCAACACGGTGAAACCCCGTCTCTACGAAAAATACAAAAATTAGGTGGGAGTCGTGGTGTGCGCCTGTAGCCCTAGCTACTTGGAAGGCTGAGGTGAGAGGATTGCTTGAGTCCAGGAGTTCAAGGCTACGCTGAGCTATGATTGTGCAACTGCACTCCAGCCTGGGCAACAGAGTGAGACCCTGATCCCCCAACTGCCTAAAAAGACAAAAAAAAAAAAAAAGAGTAACCTTTAGCAGTGTCTTTCTGTTGCTTCTTATTTTTGTTATTTAACATCTAGAATAAAAACACAGATTTTGCATAGATCTTTTGGGAAAAATAAAAGTAATTTATGGAATTGAAGCAAAACTAATACCTGCCAAAATCTAGTTATTTTGCTCTTCTTGAGACTTATTTCTAAAGCAGAAAATGGCCGTGCAAGACAGACAAATTTCCTGAGTTGCATACTGGCCAGTGCTGTGGCTATCATACCTGCTGAATAAAAAAGTTCCTAAACCACTCAAGCCATCTAACTGAGGAAGATTTGAAGACTTAAAATGTTGTTATACTTCCAGTGCTCACGTCAAAAACAATCAAAATTATTACATCCTCAGGTATATGTTTAAATGTTCAAAAGAGGGAGATTTTATTTCTCTATTACTATTTTAATGTAGCTTTGTTTTATAATCTATCACCAGGGAGTCATCTGTACCACAATGAATGAATACAGATTGTTTATCAAGATCTAGCCAGCTCTCTGGAATGAAGTGTTTATAAACTTGTTGTCCCATTTTCTCCTTACTGTATCTTCAGTAACACATATATAAAATCAGAATCCTCAATATACTTAATGAACGTAATCTTAGGAACATCACTCTAATACTTTCCTATAGGCTAAAATATCTATTTCAGTAAAGTTTTCACACAACCAAGATTTTCACATGGAGTTTCATGTTGGGGATTCTACTTACAAATTTACTTCTCTGAGGTAAACGAGGGCCATCCCCTCCTTCAGCATCTTCTGTGGCCTTTTTTTCTTTTTTGGACAATTGTGAACGTTGTTGTTCCATTCTTTCTTTCTCCAATTTCTTCTGCTTTTCACGTTCCATTTTTTCAAGACCTTCGCGAATCCAAGCGGGAAGAGTCCTGCGTTTTACTGCGTCTGTTTCACGTGGGAAAAATATACGCAAGTCAGTTAAGTAAAATATTTCTACAAACTTGTGAGTAAATTTAAAAAATATCCCATTAAATATCATGCCTTTCTTCAATGCCATCACTTTTAGTAACAGCAGGGACCACTGCTCTAGTGCTTACAATCTGCCAGGACACAATGAAAGCATGTTAAACCATCATCTAATTTAATCCTTACAAAAGCCCTCAGAGATCACTACTATTACTCCACTTTTTTCCACAGGTGAGGAAACTGAGACTCGAAAAAATTAAGTGATTTGCTAGTAAGTTAAAAAAGGAGTAAAGTTAGAATCTTCCTAAAATGTAAAAAGTAAAGATTTATTAACAAATGCTCCTGTCCATTAAATACTGAACAATTTAGAACTTTCCAGATATAAAGTGGCATAAATATGTATTTGTCACTTGAAATAGGCTGGCTCTATAATGTTATTTAAAAAATTGAAATTTTCTGCCAAAATACTTAAGGGAAGTGAAATAACCAGAGGAAAATTAATCTGACAGCAGTGCATCAGATGAACTAAGAGTGGACAGAGATTGAACAATTAGATTTAAAAGGAGAAGGGCTCATATATCTGTATAATGTACTGAAATGCCTACACTGAAGAAAATACCAACATGCTATGGCTAGCATAAATTTTCACTTCATCACAAAATCTGGAATTTAATGTAAAGGTTTAAATAAAATTATTTAAACCTTTTAATTTCAGACCAGTATCATTTTTGTAATTTTAAGCTTTATGACCATAAAAAATAAAGTGTCAATTCCTAACACATCAGAGATACTCAAACAATTTTAAGAAAACAAGACATCCTTTTTATATGATAAAAAAGTCATGCCAATTGTGGTCCACTAAACTAAGTTAAATAGCTACCAATTTGTGGAGGCTCCTGCTTCACAGGAAGTGCAATAGGTGAACGCTGACGATCCCTGAATGATGATGGCCTTTCTCTTCGATTCTGGGGAGGTGCTGGAGGTCCTGGAGGTCCTGGTTGCCAATAAGGAGGATGAAATCCACCTTGCGGTGGACCAAAAGCAGCCCCATGCTGAAAGAGTATTGCAGTTTATTTTTTCTTCAAATTAATACAATATACTCTCTGGGACACACGTGTGTTATGAACTGGGACAGTAGAAATCCATGTGTGCAGCACATCCAAGAATTCCATGGCTCTAATATCCACCGATACTTCTATGGTCCCAAGAACCTAGGCTTACTTGTCTTAAGATTTTCCGGCTATGTAAATGCAAAGAGGCTTCTAAAAGCCAGCTGATAAGCTACTTTCAAGAAGTATATGAAATTTTTCATTCTGAATCCATTTACAAGCTAATCCTACCAACACTAAGACATCAAATAGATACTAATTTCTCTTTAACTAGACATTTTTGTCAATTTCAACATCCTACTTACAGTGAACAAAAAGTGAACTAAACAACTTAAGCTGTTTCTATAATCTTGCAGATATATTCATTTATAAGCAAAGATAGAAGTTAATGAATCATTAAATATTTTCTGCAATTTTGCTATTTTCAGAGGCTTTTCTAGGCCAGCTGCCAATACAGCTCTTTGTCTTGTTTACATGGGATCTACCATGCAAAAGTAGGGTAAGCAGATGCTCCCTGCCATTATATTTCTTCAAACAACATAAAAACTGTTGTATCTGTATACCAAGTATACAAGTATCTGAATATTTATTAATGAGAGGATTACCATCTCAAGGTGAATACTAGATGTCCATTATCAAATCTACCCTAGAATTCATGAAATAATTCTTTCAAAATTTTAAATTATGATAGCAGTTTATAAGTTAATAATTGCAATCAGTTATTTCAAAATGACACCTAGCACTATAATTTAAGGGTAGACCCTGGCAGAGGGAATGAAGTAAATAAAGCCCAACATACAACACTATTCCCCACAGAGTTCTATGTCCCTAGGAATGAATTGGATGCTACAGAGGAAATTATATACAATTCCATTAACATGTCATGTCAGAATGGAAAAAAAATGACACTAGAAAAACAGTCATAATTCTACATAGCACAAGGAATTACACTTAGGAAAATGATCTATATTTTTTATTCATGTCTTAACCATGAGCTATATTCAATTACTGTGCATTCTCTAGTCTTTAACATTTAAATATACCATTTTGAAATATAAATTAGAAAATAAAACATCATATAGCTATTGCACTTATACATTTTTAATTTTTTCAAAAGTTTTCCGTAATGATCTTTTATACCATTTTCCTAATGAAATAAAAAAATCAGAAAACAAATTCTAATTATTTTAATACTCAAAAATTGATAACTGAGACAGAATGTGCTTATTTATACAAGTCTGAAAAGTGAAACACGTATCTTAGGTATTCTTGATGAGACACTTCCAAAGAATGGATTACGTGCACATCTACAATATTAAAGCAACAAAATATCTTTCACCTGATAGTCAAACTGGTTCACTGGCCCCACTGCAAAATTATCGGGTGGTCCACCAAAGTTGTGATTGTTCTGGTTAAATATATGCCTGTTGTCAGGGGCAAATTCCCCACTGTCCTGACTGTTGCTGTCTTCAGAAGGAGGAACAATGTCCATTGGGCCTGGTGTTGGTGGCATCCATGGCTGATCTGGAGGGGGGTGTGGGGGTTGCTGATGCATTCCCCATTCTATTTAAGATTTAGGCATAAAAACATTCAACAGGCGGTTATAACAAAATCAACACAGAATTTTAAGATCTCAAGAAAGATTTTTCAGTAAACATACAGATTTAAAAAACAACTTATGACTTCTTGGTCAAATTCCTTTTGTTTATCTTAAAAATAAGCAATGAACTAAACTGTCATATATAATTCAAAATGAGCTAACTCCACTCTAATTCATATCCTAACCAAATGCCCAAAGTTATTTTTAACAAATGTAACAAAATCCAAAGCACTATTTTTGTTGAATTTTTATATTTGTTTAGTAACAACACCACAAAAATAATACCTTGAGGTTTTATATAATTTCTTTCTTACACGAACACATTTATCCTCACAACATCCCTGTGAGGTAGGGAGAAATTAGGTATTATTTTTGCCAATTTCGGGAGGGAAAATCGAGGCACACAGAGGTAAATCACTTGCCCAGGGTCACAAAGTAGAGTAAAACTAAGGGGTAGGGATGCCCGCGGGAGTCATTTAAGAACTTAAACTTAGGAACTAAAACATTTTCAAATGTGGGGAAATTTCACTTTCAAGAAAGCTAGAAATGAACCACCTCACAGTATCAAAGACTAGAATATTTATGTTTTTAAAAGTAATCTGAATTCTCGTTTTTTTTGTTTGTTTGTTTTAAATGAGGGACTCATTCTGTCACCCAGGCTGGAGTGCAGTGGCGTGATCACAGCTCATTGCAGTCTCAATCCCCTAGGCTCAAGCAATCCTCCCACCTCAGCCTCCCAAGTAGCTGGGACTACAGGCATGCGCCTCTATGCCTGACTAAGTTTTAAGGTTTTTTTTTTTTTTTTTTTTGTAGAGACAGGGCCTTGCTATGTTGCCCAGGCTGGTCTCGACTGAGGTCTCCATTCTTATAAGGAGAAACAAAAAGTATTAATAGGGAAAGGAGGTTATGACTTCACCATCAGCATACCCAAATGAGAGGCTGATTCCTCCATAGTTTCAAGTGACTATTAAAAAGGAATAACACAAGCCATGGAAGACTGAATTAGCATCAAGAAATCTACATCATACTGTGAAATAAAACAAACAAAAAAGTAAAACACACAAAAACTTATGAAAGATCTTCACTATCTGAAAAAAAAAAAGGGAAGAAAAAGGTAGGCGGATGGTAGGGGCAGAGTATATTTGACAGACTAATTTGTCACACAGTGACACAATTTTTCTTTAATTAGAGGCTAGACATGTTTTACTCTGCCAGTGCTGCTTCTGAAAAGGCCAGAGGTTGCAATAGAGAGACAAAGAATGCTCTCTTCCCTAGATGCCAAGTGAGGTTTCCAGAGTGTTCCCAGCCCCTGTCAGCCTAGGAATGAAGAACCAAGAAAAGAATCAAACTGAGTGCCACAAAGCTAGCAGAATGAGTACAGAATAATTTTAACCACAAAATGTCAAAGTCAAATCAAATTGAAAACTGCCTATTCTTTAAGAAGCATTAATTTCCAGAAGTCATACAACTAAGCAAATTAAAAAATTTAATAATAATCTTCATTCTGTTTTTTAAAAGTCTTAAAATTGTGAAAACATAAACAACAAACCTGGTTGCCACATTCTGTTGAAGTTTGAATCCCCTTGGAAATTCCCATGATTGTTTGGACCAGATTCCATTGTAGACATATCTTGTCCATTTGGCATCATTCCTGGTGGTTGTTCTACCATGCTTTGCTGTCCTGAAGCTTCTCTTTGGGCAATCCAAGCTTGGGCCAATGCAGCCCAATCAATCTGGCCTAACGTAAATTAACACTGACTTCAGCATTCAGAATGTAGGAGTTAAAAGAATAGTGCCTCTATGTAAAATAAGCAGCTCAACTATTCCTTAGATCTTAAATATTTCAGACAGAGAGGGTATGAGGGAAATTAGAAAAATTTTTTTTGAATGAGATCTTAAATATTAAAGCATACTGTGTCTGAAAGGGTACTTAGCAAATAACCCATATTCAGGCTAAAAAATAATATAAACTACTTACACTTTCAGGAAAGAACTCCACAAAAAACACTCTTAACCCATTTCTAATATTAATTCATATAAAATTTATCCCCTGCATCTTAGTTTACTGAATTTTTAAATGTCATCACCTTTACAAAAAAAAAATCACCACAAAAATAATCAAACGCTATCATTTCTTCCTTCAACATGTCCTATTTATCTTTCCAGGCCTGCATTCGAGCCTATAGGCCTTTGATGAGAGCAGCTACCTAACTCTGTTTTTCCTTATGGTTGCCCTTCTTTAAATAAGGCTCCCTTCTCTAGCCAAAACATGACTAGTGTAGTCTGGCTACAACTTCTTAGCCAGTCTTTACTCAAAATTCATTTCCCCACTATCTTGAAGACTCTCTTCCCAAGATACATTTTTTTAATTTCTAAATTTTTACGTATCTATCCATCCATCCATCCATCCATCCATCCATCCATCCATCCATCCATTCATCCATGATCCATCCATCCATCCATGTAGAGTCTGGGTTATGAGCCTGGCTAATTTTTGCATTTTTGGTAGCGATGGGGTTTCATCATGTTGCCCCGGCTGGCCTCAAACTCCTGAGCTCAAGCGATTTGCCCACCTCAGCTTCCCAAAGTGCTAGAACTACAGGCATGAACCACCGCACCTGGCCTCTCTTCCCAAGCATCTACATTTAACATTTCAAGATCTTTTTAATAATTTTTATTTTGCAAGTCCACCCAAAAATGCATTAAGATCTAATATTAATAAAGTAAACAAAGTAGAATAAGATATGTTTTTCTGCATCTTACTTTAATGAAGATTAAATAGGTATTCTCAGTTTGAAACACTGGCATAACCCCTATGGGGTTACACATGGCAATGTGCACCTGAAATTACCGTGACTTAACAAACCTAGCTCTTTTAATAAGAAAATAATTGGACAAGTGAATAACAATATGTACACAAGATTATGCTAATTGTTTCAAAAAGTGAAAAACTTTAAATAACAAAACACCCAAAAGTGGCTTTGTTAAATTATGGTACAATCCTACAATAGAATGATACATGGCTATTAAAAAAAGAAATAGCATCAGATCAATCCAGTGAGGGCAGAGCAACGTAAGTGGTCTTACGGATGAAACAAAATTGGCCACTAGTTAACAATTGTTAAAGCTAAATAATAAACAAGGGCTCCCTATACTCTTCTACCTTTGTATGTGTGCCTGAAATAGTCCACAGCAAAAAGAAATTTTAAAATGATATAGCACACCATCCAGTTCAATATAATATACAACTTTAAGAGTCAGAATTCACAGAAGTGTTCTCCATAAGCAACATATTTTAGGCTTTTCTCTTTCTTTAGAAAAACAAGGACTAAATCAGTTTAAAAAATGTAAAATCTTCAAAAAGCTTTCTACATTTTGAGAGTCTTCCAAAGGGAAGTCCATTTCCTGCTATATATGCTATGGCAAGGCTATTTATGAGAAGATTAAATTCTGACCATAAAATGATCCAGTACACCAATCTCAATTCCATATCCCTTAATCCCATCATGTGTCTTCTACCCATTTCCACATATCCAACCCCGCCCTTTCAAATTCAATTTGTTTCCTTACTTGGATCCTGTTGGTGCTGGAATGACTGCATCCATTGTTGCTGGTTCAAGGGCCACTGCTGCCAAGGCTGTCCTCCTTGATCCCACATCCCTTCTTTTAAAATATACTTGATTTTCTATCTTCAATAAATTAAACATAGTTTAAAAATTATAGTGAGTTATTTAATCTTAAAACCTCACATCAGAAATTATTATATGATGATACATTTATTTCATCAGAGGTCTAAAATTCTTGTCAATAGCTTGCCAGAGGCAACTAGAATTTTTAGGGTACCAAACGAGGTAGAAAATTTTATGTTAATGCTGGTCTCAGAATTTGGTGGCAAGCATAACACAATGAATTTAGCTCAAAAAAGACTTTAAAAAAAACTCTATTTTTTGTACAATATAAATTTCTGGATATGTAATTATTTTGAAGATTGTAGGAAAAAAGTGATTTCATTTCTCCCCAATCAAGATTCCTTTAAGATAGTAACCAAATAGCTTCAGCAGATGAAGAAAAATTTTTCCTTATAAATAATTACAGCTAAAAAAATGAAGAATGTAGAACAGAATTAGAAAACTATCATATTGCCAAAAGTAATAAAATATTAATTCAGGAAACCTTACAAGAAAAGTTGATGAGAAATCAGAAATTCAAAGGTTGCCAAAATATCACCCCTACAGATTATTAGGTGTCTACTATGCTCCCAGAATCACTAAGAATTCTCATCAAAAATGTTTAACTGAGTCCAACTGAGCTTTTGGATTTTACTTCCAATATAAAGCAATTTTAAAGGATAAAGAAATGAGATAAACGGTATTAAATCCAGAAAGTAAGACAGCCTCCAAGACCTGGTTTCTTAACATATAAATAGCATGGAAAAGATGGGAGGGAAGGTACTTTATGTTAATAACTATTAATTTAGGAGATGGTATGGGGGGGAATCATCACACTAGCCCAACTTTTCTGTAAGCTAGTCTGAAAACATTCCTAATAAAAGGTTTAAAAGTCTTACAAGTCTAATATCTTTGTACTTTATTCCAACACTGATACACAACCCTGTTCAAGAACCAGTGACTCACATAACCAGGGCATGGTTTCTTCTTTATTTTTGTATCCCAAGGCTTAGTTCATAGCAGGCATTTAATAAATGTTTACTAAATGAATCCTTCTAGATTGATCCTTTCCTGTATGCTAAAAACAAGATAAAAGCAAGCCTTTGTATTGCAGGATCACAAAAAGTAGGCAAGTTGGATAACAAAAAAAATAGAGATATTAACTCTAATAGGACAATTGGCGATTACAATTCAGGCTTTTAAAGGTTTCCAACTCCAGTCTTCGCAGCATTCCCAGAATGCCATACAGGTATAGTTCTATCTGCGGCAGATACTAATCCCTCAAATGAAGAACACTGTGAGTTATGGGAGGTGTATTTCTTTGTCACCTTGATTTACTTATGAGTCAAATGTACCTGTCTTCAAGTTACACTAATGTAATCAATTACAATGACATTATTAGAATATGGCAAAATAGGCACTACATAGCACAAATGAGGCCAACAACTGGTTTGGGTATCAGTTCCAAGTTAAATATATTTTTTTCTAACCTCTGTTCAGTGTTTCCTTCTTCCTCCCCTTTTTGTCCTGTCCAGTTTCCCAAGTACGCCTTTAGACTCCTTTAAGGCTAAATAGGTTATCAGAGCCCTTGAAAAGTAACTTCGCTTACAACTTTAATTAAGAGTTAACAAATAAATAGGAAACACCAAGAAGACACACCAACTGCTATTTAAACTGACCTCAGAGGTTCACCTTCTGTTTAAAACTTAGGTTGATTCAGACTACAGCTTCGAAGCATAGCAGCAAGATTATGTATGCCCTAGGGGGAAAAAAAGTAGATGTCTGCTTATAGATTATCATGATTCACATAAAAATAAATTCTAGAGATGCAACATAAGTGTGATCATCTCCAAGTTAGTCACTTTTCCTTGCATTAACTTTATAATGGGGAATTATTTTATCATAATAAAATCAAGGAAAAGAGATACACCAGAAATGAAGAGGCAAAGCTTTTTAACATCTTTTTTTCTTTCCAAATCTTTTATTTACTTGAACAATTCCTTCATAATAAAAAACAATGTCAAACAATTTAGAGATTGAGAAAAAAGGAACAACAAACATTTGAAATGAAGATCTCATCCACCTATTATTAACTTAGATGATACAAGGTAATAAAATGTATTAATTTAAATTTTCCTATAGAATTCTATGTTTAGAAATTAACATTAGCAAGGAGAGAACAGTTTGTTCCTGAAATGGTTTAGTTTCCTTTTTATTCAATCAACAGCTTTTTACAGTTGAAAGAAAGACAAATTTATTCATCCTTTTATCTTCAATAAGGTACAAGAAAGCATCTTGCACATAGCAGACACTAAATAAATAATCAGTGTCTAGCTATTACTTTCTGTTTAAAGGCTAATGATGAGGAAGCTGTTAACTTCTACTTATGAGAACCAAAAAGCTTGCTGTGCTTTCCAACGCTTTAACAGCTTATCAGAGTTCAATGCATAATTTTTCTGTCTTAAGTTGTAAACTCATATAATACAGACATTATCAACAGCTCTATAAAGTGCCTACTGAAACTGAAAATGTGCACTTACTAAAACCATTTAAATGATGAAAATGATGTATAATGACTACCTACCATCATTCCCAATCCATAAATTTACTTTTCCAGAAATTACTCTAAATAAAGGTTATTTTTCTTACTCATGTTTAATGGTTGTCATGGACAACTTTTTTAGTTCCCCTTTTAAGTTTTCTGGTCACCACTTGTCACCTAGACTTCAGAGCACAGGCTCTGGTTCAGGATGCCTACCTACATCCGTTCGTTAGTGGTGTGAACATAAGTAAATTATGCTCTAACCCTTGGTTTTCCAATCTGTAAAACAGAAGACCTAAATGTCTATACCCCAAAGGATTATTGTGAGGATTAAATAAGAAACACATAAAAACTAAGCATCAGAAGTTTCAATTCGTGGTGATTAATATCAATACTAGAGCTTTCCCACCATCACTTTTGGTAGCACTCTTCAAGTTAACAACTATTAGGGGGTTTTAAAAAAAAGGTGATCGGCCGAGCGCGGTAGCTCACGTGTGTAATCCCAGCACTTTGGGAGGCCAAGGCAGGTGGATTACCTGAGGTCAGGCATTCAGGACCAGCCTGACCAACATGGTGAAACCCCCGTCTCTACTAAAAAATACAAAAATTAGCCGGGCGTGGCGGCGGGCTCCTGTAATCCCAGCTACTTGGGAGGCTGAGACAGGAGAATTGCTTGAATCTGGGAGGCGGAGGTTGCAGTGAGCCGAGATTGTGCCATTGCACTCTAGCCTGGGCGACAAGAGCGAAACACCATCTCAAAAAAAAAAAAAAAAAAAAAGTGATCAAGCCAACCCACTTCTGCTCAACTCCATTTTCTTTTCCAGAAGCAATCTAAAACTTACAGAGGTTTCACTTTATCTTTGAAAGAATTCTTTAGTCTAAATTTGTCTTCCTGTTTCATGGGTTGAAACTTTTATTGTTATTATTATTATTATATTTTTTTTGAGAGGCAGTCTCGCTCTGTCGCCCAGGCTGGAGTGCAGTGGTGCAGTCTGGGCTCACTGCAACCTCTGCCTCCTGGGTTCAAGCGATTCTCCTGCCTCAGCCTCCTGAGTAGCTGGGATTACAGCTGCTCGCCACCAAGCCTGGCTAATTTTTGTATTTCAGTAGAGACGGGGTTTCACTATGCAGGTCAAGCTGGTCTCGAATTTCTGACCCAAATGATCTACCCACCTCAGCCTCCCAAAGTGCTGGGATTATAGGTGTGAACCACCGCACCCAGCTGAAGCTTTTATTAAAAAAAAAAAAAAAAGTTTTCCTATGAACAGAGGTTTTAATTTGCATATTTTCAAGGGTTTGATTTGTATCACCTATGATCATTTTTCTGTATGTTTAGAACAGCCACTTCTACTTTTGCTATATTTTTAGAAGCTTTTCTTCCCCAAAGTTTTGATGGAAGCTACTATTCAAGTAATATAATGTTTGGGACACTTAGGCTGAGAAAAATAGAAAAAAGATGTGAAATTGGGAAAAACAGAGCAGAATAAAAATACAGTAAAGAAGGTGATGGTAAGTTAAGGAAGTTAGAGGCTATTTATTAAAGCGCTTTAATTAAGTCTGGAGTTGAGAAACTTGATTTAGTTACAGAGGATGACTACTGGATGAGGGCACAGGTGGAACACCAAATGGTTAGTCTTTTTAAAAGACAATTTACTGGCTGGGCACGGTGGCTCACGCCTGTAATCCTAGCACTTTGGGAGGCTGAGGCAGGTGGATTACCTGAGGTCAGGAGTTCAGGACCAGCCTGGCTAACACGGTGAAACCCGTCTCTATTAAAAATACAAAAAAATTAGCCGGACATGGTGGCACTGGCCTGTAGTCCCAGCTACTCCGGAGGCTGAGGCAGGAGAACTGCTTGAACCCGGGAGGTGGAAGTCGCAGTGAGCTGAGATAGCACCACTGCCCTCCACCAGCCTGGGTGCCAGAGCGAGACTCCGTCTCAAAAAAAAAAAAAAAAAAAAAAAAAAAAAAAAAAAAAAGGGCAATTTACCATTATGGCATCTTAACAAAACGTACATGCACATCCCTCTGACCCAGCAATTCCACCGCAGGGTCCTAAACCATGAATGTGAATATTCATACCATAATTCAAAAATTGGCAGCATATTTTGTAACAGTAAACATCTGGTTTCAGTGACATTAAATTAAAGGCAAGTTAAATAAGTTAGAGTGAACCATACAGTTGATTCCTATTCAGCCATTAAAATGAATAAGGTAGACTGCTACATACTGGCATGTATTACCGTACAAACTGCATTAAGCGAAAAAAAGGGACTACAATCTGTCCCTTTTCTACAAAATTTTAATATAAGTCCAAATTTCATTTTCATGACCAGAGTTACCTGTTTTGGATAAGATTATCAAAATTTACTCTAAATCCTATAAGAAAATGAGATAGAGGACATTTGCCCAATGTCTCACAGTTGAAGAAGTTTGTGTAATTTGTACTGCCTGTACTAGTCATTATGGACTGTGTTCATTAGCTTCATTTGATTCTTTGTATCTTTAAAAATCTGTATTTTTTCTAAAAATACACATTGACAGAATAAAATAATTAAAAGAATACAGAAAAATATAAAATAAAGATTAAAAATACCTGATTCCTATTTCCAATTCCTAGAGCTTGGCAGTTTTGAGAAGATTTTGTAATTTAGTAATTTTCTATACATAACTGCATTCTTTTTTTTTTTTGAGATGGAGTCTCGCTTTGTTGCCCAGGCTGGAGTGCAGTGGTGCGATGTTGGCTCACTGCAAGCTCTGCCTCCCAGGCTCACACCATTCTCCTGCCTCAGCCTCCCGAGTAGCTGGGACTACAGGCGCCTGCTACCACGCCCGGCTAATTTTTTGTAGTTTAGTGGAGACAGGGTTTCACCCTGTTAGCCAGGATGGTCTCAATCTCCTGACCTCGTGATCCTCCCGCCTCAGTCCCCAAAGTGCTGGGATTACAGACGTGAGCTATCGCTCCCGGCCCATAACTGCATTCTTAAAAAGAAAAGGCCTCAAGTGGCATCATTTTTCATGCATTGGGCAAATGTTCTCTGTCTCATTTTCTTATATGATTTAGAGTAAATTTTGATAATCTTATCCAAAACAGGTAACTCTGGTCATGAAAACAAAATTTGCACTTACATTAAAATTTTGTAGAAAAGAGACAGATTGTAGTAAAGACTTGTTTTAAAACTAGGAAATACTTAAACTTTTATATATGTTTCAGCACATAGCACAATGCTTGATAAGGAGTTTCATTAACTATTGTTTAATTAAACAGTAAGATTACTAGTGATTTTATGGCAAGGATTTAGGAACACTACTCTTTCTTCCTTCATCTTCACCATAGTATCTTCACTACTAACAAATCCAACAAATGCAAAATCTAGAAAACAGAAGGAATACACAGGCACAACACACAGTAATCAATGGATACATATTTTAAATTTCACTATGGTTTAACAAAATAACATAACGTTGTACCATTAAAAATGACATTTACAAGTTGGTTTAAAAATGATTTGGAAAATGTTGATAATTTAAGGATGGGCATTTGCTACCCTCTTCTTTACCACTGTTTGAAAGCTTTCATTTAATAAGTTAAAGATGACATACAATAATACTTTTTATAGAGGGTCTGCATTAAATTTTCATGTTTTTGTCTTGGCTCAAACAAAAATCTTCTTTAGGGGAGAGAAAACATTTTATAATAATTTAAATTCTCCATAATGTTTTGTCCATGTTAAGTGGTTAAATATTTATAATTCACTGAAATGTTAGCAAGTAAATACATTAATGTTCAACCATGAAAATGACATTCCAATATTGCTACTGTGATTTTATAATATCAAAAATTGATTCCAATTTATTCACTCTTCCTTTAGACTTAATTTTAAAGCTTGTTAGGCTTGGGTTTTCAAGTTTGGAGAAATTTGATTAATGACGGGCAAGGCTGCAAGACTTTCCTAACAGTATTTCCCTTCATGTGGTAAAGTGAACTGCTATTTCCTTGGAAAACAAATGGGGTCTGGGAAGAACAGAAAGATGAATAACCAAGGTTTGTATCAGATCATCAAAGCCACCACACACTGCCGCAAAAAAATCAAGTGATAGCTATCACCAGTGTTATGGAATGAATTGTGTCCCCATCCAACAGATACACTGAAGTCCTAACTCCTGATACTTGTGAGTATCAAGTGATACTTGTGAGTATGTCCTTATTTGTAAATAGGGTCTTTGCAGATGTATTCAAATTACAGTGAGTTCATATTTGATTAGGAGGGACCTTATTAAAAAGGAGACATAAGACACTTACAGGGAGAATGTAACATGACCACAGTGGTACAGATTGGGAGTAGATGGCTCTATAAGCCAAGGAACATCAAGGATTGACAAGAACTACCAAAAGCTAGGAAGAGACAAGAATCCCCTACAAAGCCATTAGAGAGCATGCCCTACCAAAACCTCAATTTTACACTGTTAGCCTTCAGAACTGTGGAAGAATAAATTTCTGTTGTTTGAAATCAGCCAGTTTGTGGTAATTTGCTACAATATCCCTAGAAAACTAATACAACCAGAAATGGCCATCATCTATTTTATCCTTTTCTTAAATGTATCTATATTAGAACTTCATCGCTTTGAGGTCCTAAAACAACTTGTTTAAATGACAATCATTTATTTATTATTGAGAAATTCTCACTCTGTCGCCCAGGCTGGAATGCAGCAGTGTGATCTCGGCTTACGGCAACCTCCACCTCCCAGGTTCAAGCAATTCTCATGCCTCAGCCTCCCGAGTAGCTGGGACTACAGGTGCATGCCACCGCGCGAGGATAATGTTTGTATTTTTTAGTAGGGATGGAGTTTCACCATGTTGCCCAGGCTATCCTCAAACTTCTGGCCTCAATGATCCATCCTCCTCAGCCTCCCAAAGTGCTGGGACTACAGGCATGAGCCACCCCGTGTGGCCAAAATGACAATCATTAATATTTACAAAAGTCACTCAGAGACTGTGACAGAGATGGATGAGAATTAAAATGTGGTATTTTAAAGTCCTTGAGCATCAACTACAAAATCAAAGAGCTACAGAAACACATCTATCATTTGATGCATAGGATGAAATATTTCTCAAATCAACCACAAAGCTGAGAAGCCAGAAAATACAACAATCCTCTTCACCCCTGACATTTCAGTCTTACATGAGTTGACTGACCTCAAAGTCAAAAAAGAATTTATTTGTTTAATTCAGATTAGGTGGAAATGGCACTGGTAAAAATTAATCTTGTAATCATTCGAAATACGGAAAACAGAAATTTTGCTACTTTATGTGACATGCATTTTAGTATATACTGAAATACTTGCAGCTTGTAGCTCAAAAGACTATTTTAAAAGTGGAGGACAAGCATGGCGGCTCATGCCTGTAAACCCAGCACTTTGGCAGGCCAAGGTGGGTTCATCACTTGAGGCCAGGAATTCGAGACCAGCCTGGCCAACATGGCGAAACCTCCACTCTACTGAAAATACAGAAATTAGCTGGGCATGGTGGCATATACCTGTAGTCCCAGCTACTTAGCAGGCTGAGGCAGGAGAATCACTTGAACCCGGGAGGCAGGGGTTGCAATGAGCCAAGATTGTGCCACCACTGCACTCCGGTCTGGGAAACAGAGTGACACTCTGTCTCAAAAAAAAAAAAAAAAAAAAAAACTGGAGAATTGGAGAGTCGGTTATAAATACCCCCCCAATAATAATTTAAAAATAAATGTAGCGAGAGCGCCCAAAATGACACCCTAGTAGCAACAAGCACACCTAGGCACGAGAACTTGGTTTTAATACCATTCTTCAATAAAAGGAATCAGAGATCTTTAAAGAAATAGCTGACTCTAGGACTGCGACAGGAAATATAAAAGATGAGTCTGGGGCATGTATACTGCCAGGAAGCAATAAAGTGCTAAAAAAAAAAAAATTGATAGGAACATGTCAAAGGAGAACAGTAGACAACTCGAAGAGCTGCCAATGGCCAAAGCTGGTACAATTTGAGCAACAAAATAAAGAAGTACTGGATTATAATATAAGTTATGTAATAAACATCCACAAGCCCATAAGGATATGATAAAATAAACTAACAAATAAATGTGAGGGAAGACACAAATCTCCCACAGAGAATTCCAAATAAATTATGTAAATATTCCACCCTAACTGAGGAAGAGCACAACTGTCCATTCAGTAAGCGTGGGCTCTGCAAAGTGACTTCCTTCCAAAGAGAACAGTATAAAAAGGGGTGGGGGAAGTAACTTTACAGTGGATAAATCTAACAAACGCTACTCCAGAAGGATGATCAAGGTCAGTAATAATGTGATAAGTCACCTTGATAGTATGTATCCTTGATAGCATGTGTTGAAAAGGGCATCTTACCTCTGTGATCTTCCCCTGATATAGTCCGTAAGGCCATTTTAATCATGAGAAAATCGTCTGGCAAATTCCAATAGCAGGGCACCCTACAATATACCTGACCATACTCCTCAAAAAATGTCAAGGTCACTGTATTAGTTTGGTATGCTTGCCATAACAAAGTACCAAAGACTGGGTGGCTTAAGCAACAGAAATTTATTTCCTCACTGTTCTGGAGGCGTATAGTGTAAGCTCTATGGGGTTGATTTCATTCTAAGGCCTCTCTCCTTGGCTTGTGGATGGTTGTCTTCTCCCTATGTCTTCACATGATCATCCCTCTGTATCCTACTCTCTTCTTATAAGGACAGCAGTTATTAATATATTGGGCTAAGGTCCACCCTAGTGACCTCATCTTCTTTAAAGACCCTCTCTCCAAATACAGTCACGTTCTGGGGTACTGAGGTTAGGACTTCAAGATACGAATTTTAGAGGGGCACAAGTCAGCCCTTAACAGTCATCAAAAACTAGTTAAGCCTGAGAAACTGTCACAGCCAAGAATATACAGCCTAAGAATATACAACAACTAAATGTAATGTGATATCCTAGCTGGCATCCTGGAACAGAAAAAGGACTTTAGGTAAAATGTGAGGAAGTAGGAATAAACTATGGACCTTAGTTAATAATTTATCATTATTGGTTCATTAGTTGCAACAAATGTACCATACTAACATCTATTAATAAGAAGATAAACTGTGTGTGTAGTGGGGACGTCGTATGTGCTCAACGTAAACAAAAACTGTTCTAAAACATAAAGTCTATTAGTAAGTTAAAAAAAAAAACTCTCAAGAACATCTTTAAAGAACTGTTTTCTCTATAAGCCCTTTGCCACTTTACAAAAAAATTCCACAAGTAAAATCTTTAGTAGTCTGGTTGCTGTTGTTTTCGCCCTGCTGCACTCAAATGAGGAATTCTAAGTTTATTTTGTTTTACTTGGGGGCAGGGGGAAGTAAAAAGATGTAAAAGATTAATGTTGAATTAAAATCTTAAGCTAGAATGTTAATTTAACAACCCACAAACAAATTTGTCTAATGCTCAATTTGTTCAGATGACGATACTATCCACCACAGGGTAAAAAACTGAAATATTGGATACTACCTTTAGCGAAGCTTAACACATAATATCCATCATTGGGTAAGAACACACGAAAAACACAAACTAAGGAACTGCGCCTGCGTAGTCAGAGCCTCAAAGGGTATAAGCTCCAGGTCGCGAGCCCCCGCCTCCTCCGCCCCCATGAACCCCCTTCCCACAAGGGGGTTCCCACTGCGCACGCGCAGTGTTTAACGGCCGGTCAGGAACCCAACAATTAGTCCCTTCTCGTCCGAGAGGAAACTCTGTGAGAAGATGGGACCGTGAGCACTCTCTTTAACAAGGACATTTCCTTTTCAGCGAAAGCAGCGCTCTGATTTACCAAGTCTGGCGGACCGCAGCGCTTTAAAGGAATGAGGTTCCAGCGGTCGCGCCAAGCAGCGTACGCAGCCTATTTTAAGTTATGCTACCTTCGCCACAGAAACCAAGAACGTTGTAATGGTCCGGCAAGTGCCCACGTATAATTGTTCTCCATCACTTACCCACTCTAGTTCGGGAACACCCTTGTCGCCGCCGTTCCGGTAACACCTCTCCAACGCTTTCGATGCTTCTACTTCTTCGGGAACAAGACAAGATGGCGCCCGATTTGTCTCACCCGGAAGTAAAGAATAATAACATCCGTTTGTCATCTGAAGCCATACCATCTCTCATCCAGGTTTGTGAACACGTGATTGTGCGGATTGACATGTTTCGGCGCCATTTTTTTTGTGGGCAAAACCATCTCTACTCTGGTCAACACCGGGCAACTGAACCATTCCTGCACGTTACTTTTTAACGTAGCTGGCGCCATTCCCGACCCATCTTTATAGTGGCCAGAAAGCCAAGAACGTAAGTGTTCTACACATAGGGCGCCTTCAAATTTTTTACTTTAGCAACGTGATCTTCCTTTAAGGGGAAGTATGTTCCCTCCTAGAAACACTCCCGCCTTGGAGAAGGGGTTGAGTTCGCAACTCCACTTACAGACTACGGAGGAACCCCAGGGTCAAACCAAACCAAACCAATTCTGGCCAGTTGCTTAGCGCAGTTCAAGTTACTTAGTGCGCTGGAAGCGGCATTTCAGGCAATCCAACTTCTGGCTCGAACCTTCTCGGAGTATTCCAAGGATGGAATACTCTCACTTGAGCGCTGCCGAGGGTGCCGCTTGAGGAAAACGTGAGTTTGTGAAGGTGAGCAGTCTGGGTCGGTAGCGAAAGCGGAGACCTTAGCTGACCCCGCAGCTGTCTTTCTCTTTGTTAACCTCAACACATCGCGCCCCCTTCCGGGAACACTTGCTCTTCTCTCCTTGGCTTAACTAGTCCCGGTTTTTCATTCTTTATCCGTGACTTTTAGGGAACCGTGGGGGGGAAGTCTGGTTTCCGTCCTGCTGCTTTCCTTCAACTACAAGATGGCTTCTCAAAAGGACGCATGCAATGCCATTCCTCAAAGACAGTATGTTGATTTCACAGTGTTTTTATATGAACAACGTTCAAGTGTCAAAAGTATCAATTTCCAGGCTAGGAGCTACAAGTTAAAAGGAAAACAAAAATGTTCCAAAGATACAGTGTTTATTAGCTACATCTTGGGAAGTGCCTTTCCAGAGAGTAACATGAAAACTTCTGCGTGACAAAGTGCACGAAGTATCTGAATTATTTCATTGGGCAATTGTCGTGCAAAAGAAATAGCAAATTACCGTAGAAACAAAATAGTAAGAGCACAGCTAGATGGATAAAGATACAGATGTGAAAATATAGATGCCCTTTGCATGAAAATTCAGTTTTCCTCAGCACTAGAGACCCAGATACTCCTGAATTAGCATTATAATAAAGTCGTCACTAGCTAACCATCTGCCTTTCCTCCAATCCACGGACGTGGTCCTCAAAATAACATTTTATCTTGTGAGAAACCTTCATTAATTACACCTAACAACACCATGACGCAGGTTCATGAGGATACTACTGAAGGCAAAAGGAAATCCCTATTTCTCTGACCCTTTCCCTAATTTCCACTTAGCACAAATAAGACTACTGGACAGTCTGATTTTAAAAAATCACTGTATGGGCCGGGCTTGGTGGCTCCCGCCTGTAATCCCAGCACTTTGGGAGGCCGAGGCGGGCAGATCACTTGAGGTCAGGAGTTCAAGACCAGCCTGGCCAACATGGTGAAACCCCGTCTCTACTAAAAATACAAAAATTACCTGGGCGTGGTGGCAGGCGCCTGTAATCCTAGCTACTAGGGGGGCTGAGGCAGGAGAATTGCTTGAACTCAGGGTCAGAGGTCGCAGTGAGCCGAGATCCCTCCACTGCACTCCAGCCTGGGCAACAGAGTGAGTCTCTGTCTCAAAAGAATAAAATAAATAAAAACCACTGTATGGAGCAAAAACTAGAAGGACATATACCACATGTTATCAGTAATCTCTAATTTTGCTCTGTGATTTTGTGCATTTTCCAAGTTTTTTGCATCAGGTCTGATTTTCAAGTTTAATTCTCTGAGAAACATTCTCATCAGAGGAATGTTCTATCTTCTTAGAGAAACCTGATTGGCCTAGTGAAACTGTCATGTTCCTACTCTCTATAATCATATTGTAATTCTTTGCTTGTTTCCCTAGTAAAGGTGAGGCAATTTTCGGGTAAGGGATTTCCCCCTCACCTCTGCCCTCCAAGTGGCCAGCATCTGCTTTGCACACAGAAATTTTTACATCTGCTATATGTTTGCATTAATATGTTCAACAATGATCCTAATGTAGGCCAGTCATTTTGGAAATGCATTGTGAAGTGGAGAGGATTATTAAATACCTCACATTTTGTTCCTTGTGCCAGTTTAATGAGACACCCTCAGCAATTGCTATTTACCAGACCAGAAAATGAATTTTACAGTTCCAATTCCAGTTCCCTTTCTCTAACCACTCTGTTCTAAGAGTTCCCCGTAACATTATGATCTTATGGACACATCAGGTAAGTGTATGTATTTCAACACAGAATTTTCTAAGAATGTGTGTTGTGGTGTTAAATTTCTATGTAAGCAGCTGTCACGTGCATGATCTGCTGCAGTTTGATCATCCTGCGCCTGGATCATCAAATGCTTAGCAGCCATCATTTTACCAGTCTTATCTGACAATCTGCTGTTAATGACTAACAACCAGGGGACTTTATAGGTTAAAATTTTTATTAACTTCCTCTGTTTTCAGTGTTTAAAGTAGAAAATTTGGCCAATGTGGCTCACGCCTGTAATGCCAATACTTTGGGAGGCCAAGGAGGGTGGATCACCTGAGGCCAGGAGTCTGAGACTAGCCTGGCCACCATGGGGAAACTGCCTACAAAAAAATACAAAAATTAGCTGGGTGTGGTGGCCCAGCTACTCAGGAGGCTGATGCATGAGAATCACTTGAACCCGGGAGGTGGAAGTTGTAGTGAGCCGAGATCGTGCCACTGCATTCCAGCCTGTGCTACACAGCGAGACTCTGTCTCAATGAATGAATGAATGAATGAATGAATGAATGGAGTGAAGTAGAAAATTCTAGGGGAGGACATGTCACCTTCCATTATTACAGAAACAAATTATCCTTAAAGCAAAATGGAAATAAGCTAAGTAAGATGATATGTGGAAAATATATCGAAATAGGAACTATTGCTGTTTCTTGAGATTTGAACCTTTATAGTGTTATTAGGTGCCATATCACATCCATCTTAAAACCTAATAAAAATTTAAAGCTGTGGTATATATATACAATTGAATATTATTCAGCCTTAAAAGGGAATGAAATTCTGATACATGCTACAATATGGATAAACCTTGAAAACATGCAAGATGAAATAAACCAGACACAAAAGGACATATATTGTACAATTTCACTTATATGAAGCGCCTAGAATGGGCAAATTCACACAGATGGAGAGTAGAATAGAGGTTCCCAGGAGTTGGGAGAAGGCGGGAATGAGAAGTTACTGTTTAATGGGTACAGAGTTTCCGTTTGGGATGATGAAAGAATTCTGGAAATGTGAATGCACTTAATGACCCTAATTATACACCTAAAAATGGTTAAAGTGGTAAATTTTATGTTGTATATATTTTACCACATAATACAATGGAGGATGAAAAATATTTAAAGCTAGTATGCTACAGGCACATCATTACAAATTACAACTTTTTTTTTTTTTTTTTTTGAGATGGAGTCTCACTCTGTTGCCAGGCTGGAGTGCAGTGGCGTGATCTTGGCTCACTGCAACCTCTGCCTCCTGGGTTCAAGCGATTCTCCTGCCTCAGCCTCCCAAGTAGCTGGGACTATAGGCGCATGCCACCACGCCCCGCTAATTTTTGTATTTTTAGTAGAGAAAGAGTTTCACCATGTTGGCCAGGATGGTCTCGATCTCTTGACCTCATGATCTGCCCACTTC
This sequence comes from Homo sapiens, assembly GCF_000001405.40. Lineage (NCBI taxonomy): Eukaryota > Metazoa > Chordata > Mammalia > Primates > Hominidae > Homo > Homo sapiens. The sequence continues at coordinate 99,429,103 of NC_000006.12, forward strand.
AGCCTCTCAAAGTGCTGGGATTACAGGTGTGAGCCACCGCACCCAGCCTACTCTTTGATTCTTAATATAGTTACTTAAGCATTTCCTAGATAGTAGTGAATCTGGCATAATGAAATACGAGGGTATAAAATAATACTTTAGTTATTTAACAATAGATCCCATTGGGCTTTATGCAGGTATTGTCCATTTAGGCCAGGTTGGAGAAAGTAAGGTAAACTTATGTTCAATGACTGCCTGTTCTTACCTAAAATCTTTTGTGATTCAAACTTGTGGGGAAAAGCAAGAGAGATCAGATTGTCACTGTGTCTGTGTAGAAAGTAGAAGACATGGGAGACTCCATTTTGTTCTGTACTAAGAAAAATTATTCTGCCTTGAGATTCTGTTAATCCATAACCTTACCCCCAACCCCGTGCTCTCTGAAACATGTGCTGTGTCAACTCAGAGTTAAATGGATTAAGGGCGGTGCAAGATGTGCTTTGTTAAACAGATGCTTGAAGGCAGCACGCTCCTTAAGAGTCATCACCACTCCCTAATCTCAAGTACCCAGGGACACAAAAACTGCGGAAGGCCGCAGGGACCTCTGCCTAGGAAAGCCAGGTATTGTCCAAGGTTTCTCCCCATGTGATAGTCTGAAATATGGCCTCGTGGGAGGGGAAAGACCTGACCGTCCCCCAGCCCGACACCCGTAAAGGGTCTGTGCTGAGGAGGATTAGTATAAGAGGAAGGCATGCCTCTTGCAGTTGAGACAAGAGGAAGGCATCTGTCTCCTGCCCGTCCCTGGGCAATGGAATGTCTCAGTATAAAACCCGATTGTACGTTCTATCTACTGAGATAGGGAAAAACCGCCTTAGGGCTGGAGGTGGGACATGTGGGCAGCAATACTGCTTTGTAAAGCATTGAGATGTTTACGTGTATGCATATCTAAAAGCACAGCACTTAATCCTTTACCTTGTCTATGATGCAAAGACCTTTGTTCACGTGTTTGTCTGCTGACCCTCTCCCCACAATTGTCTTGTGACCCTGACACATCCCCCTCTCGGAGAAACACCCACGAATGATGAATAAATACTAAGGGAACTCAGAGGCTGGCGGGATCCTCCATATGCTGAATGCTGGTTCCCCGGGTCCCCTTATTTCTTTGTCTCTGTGTCTTTTTCTTTCCTAAGTCTCTCGTCCCACCTTACGAGAAACACCCACAGGTGTGGAGGGGCAACCCACCCCTTCAAATCTATCTACAGATGAGAAGCCTACTAAAATTTTAAGAATTGTATTAAAAACACACACAAACCTTGGCTACAACAACTTGTGGCTATTCCAAATTAAGAGAAATTACAGTCCCTAGTCATCTAAGAAATGGTCTCAAAAAAGCTGTGCAACTCCCAAAGTTGGCATATATATCCCTCAGTAGCTGTTCAGATGTAGCCATGAAGATTAAAAAAAAAAAAAAAAAACAACAACAAAACTTTCCCAGAGGTTGGACTCTAGAGTCACGGAGAACAATATACAAGGGAATTCTTCCTAGGAGATAGAAAAGAACCCTAATCATGAATATACCCCATACCTAGACTTAGGGATCCTAACTGTATCTCCCATTCTTCTTCCCCATTCAGAATGTTTGTTGCAGATACAGTTCCACCACTGTACATTAAGTATGTGGAAAACAGAAGATATCCTTTTGGTTCCTGGGTCTCCAGAACAGTAGGAGCAAACATCCAAATCTGATATAGCACTTCCAGAGAGCCTGGTCTTGGAGGATAAAACTTTACCTTGATGGGACTTTTGGCCCCGGTCCCTTAAGAGTTGGGATTTGGGGTTGTACTGCAGCACAACTCAGCCTATCCTAATACATATGGGAATGCAAACATCTCAGATATTTCTTCTTGGGTGCAATTTAAAATACGTATGAAATGGCTTCAGAAGTGTCCATGAACCTTCAAAATTACATACAAGAATTAGGGAGATACATTTTTCTGGGAACATACAGATGTTAAGACTTCCCTTCTCCGTCTCTATATTGCCAGAAGAGAGGGCCCCAGAATTAAAACCCCATCCTTCCTACAACACTCAGCTTTCTCTTTCAGGAATATCAGTACTAATATCACCATGCCTTTTATCTCTAGGATATCTTCATCCCCTGTACCTTAATTTCTGCATGACTTCATAGGGAGTCCATATTGCTTGATTTTTCTCCATATCATTACCATTGACATAAATTTTCCTTACATTCTTAGAATGTGTATTTCCTCACCTTTTAGATTTCTGGCTCTTATGTTGACTGCTGTATCCCTAGTACCTACCACACAACAGGTATTCAACAAATACTTTTTTTTTTTTGAGACAGTCTCTGTCACCCAGGCTGGAGTGCAGTGGTACTATCTTGGCTCAGTGCAACCTCTGCCTCCCGGGTTCAAGCGATTCTCCTGCCTCAGCCTCCCAAGTAGCAGGGATTACAGGCCTGTGCCACCATGCCCAGCTAATTTTTGTATTTTTAGTAGAGATGGGTTTTTGTCATGTTGGCCAGGCTGGTCTCGAACTCCTGGTCTCAGGTGATTTGCCCACTTTGGCCACCCAAAGTGCTGGGATTACAGGCATGAGCCACTGTGCCTGGCCTAAAAAATACTTACTAAATGACTAAACAAATAAAAGATAGTCTCTAACTTTCATCATAATCTCAAAGAGCTTCATGATCTGGAAGAAGTTTAGACACAAATGGGTAGGCAAAGTATTTCTTAATTGCTGGTGCAAGACCTTACCCTTGTCTTAATAATTATCCTGTCTAAGTAATACACCTTTTAAGAAACCCCTGAAAGGAAGATGATCGTCCTTGGTAGATACTGAAATCTGAGGTAAAGTGGCCCATAAACTGTTTTGAAATAGAGAATTTCTAAAATATGTAGGGTATTTTGAATATAGCTGAGAAAGCTGCTATGAACTGAAGGTTTACGTCCCCTACAACATTCACAAATCCCAAATGTGATGGTATTTGGAGATAGGGCCTTTGAGAAGTGATTAGGTCATGAGGATGGAACCCTCATGAATGGGCTGCATGGAAAAGGACCCACAGAGATGCCTTGTACTTTTCCCATGTGAGGACACAGCAAGAAAGCACTGTCTTTATGAACAGAAGTGGGCCCTCACCAGACCCCAAGTCTGCTGGCACCTTGATCTTGAAGTTCCCAGCTCCCAGAACTGTGAGAAATAAATTTTTGTTAATACACCACATAGTTGATGGTATTTTATTATAGCAGCCTGAGTGGACTAAGACATAAGCAAATGCATTGTTGATAAAACATTCTGTCAATAACGTAAACTGTGAAAATTCCAGGACCAATCTTGTAACATGAGATAAATAAGAATATTTATTATGCATGTTTTATACAGTAACACCAAAATAACGCTCAATAAGTTACACAGCTGTTTTCTAGAAACATGGCAAAAGAAAAAAAACAGTAGGAATAATATGTATTACTCAAAATTGAAAATATGGTCATCTTTTAAACATTTGAATTCATGATTTCTACGTAAACAAAAACATCATAAATATCTAGAAATAATCTTTTTTAACAATGCACTAGATACTATCTAAAGGCTCAATTTTATTGCACATATTTGGTTTAGGCTTATTTGATCAATACATGCAGAAAAATAAATTACAAACGTGAATTTTTAAAAGGAATCAGGATGTCATTTTGTACTACAAAAATTAGATGAGGGTTGATACATTTCACAGCTTAATCTTCAGAAAATTTTCTTCAGCTATTGCATAAAATCACTGATTAAAATCATCACACATGGAAGCTAAGAACTATTAAATACAGTAAAATAGCTCTGTTGGTACATTTAAAATAAGAGAACAGGCATCAACTATTCTTTGAATTGATACCAACTGTCTTCTTTTTATTTATTTTTGAGACAGGGTCTCACTCCGTCACTCTGCAGGAATGCAGTGGTGTGATCATGGTTCACTGCACCTTGACCTCCTGGGCTCAAGCATCTTCCCCACTCAGCCTCCCAACAGCATGAGCCACCATGCCTGGCTAACAAATTGATACCAACTATCACTCTTCTCAGCTACCTAAAAAGGTGGTCTTCACAAGTTTTAAGAACATTAAATGACAATATTGGCACATAATCAATATTTTATCATTTTATATTTGGAAAAAAACGGGAAGCTGGGGTAAACCAGTTTCTAAATAAAGCTAATGAAACTTTAATTCATTCAAACACTATGGTAGTTATGTTGATGATAAGTAAACATTATTATTTATTTATACTGTTTCCTGAGGTGATCCAGAAACTACTGTTATTATAGTAGACTTGCTACTATATACATTTACTATCCCTGCAAATGTGCTTTGGAAATAATAACAAAAATTTTAAGGTAGACCCATGTGTAATTTAACATGCTTTCTCTGTTACAAAAGCTATCTTTAGGAAATTCTTAAGTATCAAAAATCCAATTTATTCCATTTTCAGAAGACAAGGAAAAAGCACTCATAAACTCTAGGCCATAAAAAAATAGGTTTCATAAGTAGCTCCTTTAACATGAAGAAAATGACAATAAAAATATCTTACTTGCATGTTACTTCTGGAATAATGTCAAAAATCTATGTAGATCTTTCCATTTTAAATGATGTTAAAATAGTGTCAGCACTGTGACTGACTCATAGCAAGTATGGGTATCTATCCAAATATTTGTCTTTGAAACAAGAAACAAGTGACCATCCGATGAAAAGTGCATGCCTCTTAACAGTATCTTTCTGTAAGAAAAATTAGGTGATCTATATTTACATTTGGGCAGTGGGGGGATGAAAACTGCTCTTACCAAGATGGCTGACTTGAATAAAGACAGTCAATATTTTTCAAAAAATTCACTGCTCTGGTACTGAGATCTCCATGATAACAGATTACAGTTAAACAGAAAATGCTGTGAAATACCTTTTACAGAACACAGCCTGACTTTGCAGATTAACTTAAAGATATATTTCTTGATTATTTCACTGTTAAAAATCAAGAAAAACACTACTAACATTTCAACATCTTAAAAATAGAATTTATGCAATGACATTTTTAAGCTCTGCATTTTGTATACTATTACCGTCTTTAATTACAGTTATGTTCATCCATATATCAAAAGGCAGCACTGGTAACCTTGATAACATTATATATGCTTATGTGTTTAAGACAGTCTTGATTAAATATTTCCATACCTTATCTGCAGCCACTATTCTTATCCTTTCTTCCCAGGAGGAGAATGAAGTGGGACTAGGCATTTACCTGGCACTTGCCTGCACTATCATTCATTGGCACTAATGATTAGGATGCTTGAACCATGCAGTTTTGTTTCTATTTCAACAATATGACACTGAAGTAGCCATTATCTTTTGATATTTAAGCCTAAGTAATAGTATATTCTTCATGCCAAGTTTTGACAGCTCAATAATTTGTATTCTAGAGGGGAAAAATGATATTTTTGCTATTATTTAAAAAGAAAATCAAAAATGCCAGCTTAATGCCCCATTAAAAGCTAAATTCACCTGAACTTATTAATGATGCTTGCTGAAGACAAAGTGATTTCAAAACCCCAAAACTGTGTTTAGTATTTACAAGAAGTAGAAAAAGTATATATTTTTCTGTTAAGAATATAATTCTCTATCATTTACAAATATAATTTGGTAATTTATATTTCAAAGCTATCCTATGGTCCTATATGGATTATCAACTTCTAATTGCCAATTCTAAATGTTATAATCATCTATATTGGGCCTTGGCCAACCACCTGCAAGTTATCCTTAACTCCACCATGAAGAGGGTGCAAGAGATATGTTTATGAAATGCCTCAATATAATTCTAGTTTTTCAAAACCTCAAGGTAATAAGCTAACCAGCAGATTATTTGTAAACCCACACTACTGAAATTACAGTGACACCCTTTTATATGGTTGAATTGTATAAAATATGACCAGGGAACTACACCGTATTAGGTGTTACTTCATGAAATTATGTGTTATAGCAGTTTCCTAAATGGTAGTACACATATATACCACTAGATGGCCCTGAGATGATTTTAAGTTAAGTGGTACGTGGATAAACAATTTTTAATAGTTTTACTTTAATATTTATTATAAAAATATAAAAGCACATAAAACACGGAATATGATTGCTCAAAACAAGACTAAGGTTACAAAAGGCTAAAAATATATTTTTTAAAATAACCATGATATAGAATATGTGAGAGTTCAGGAAGGTGGCATTACATTTAGGAATCACTGTCTCAAGGAATGATTTGACTTAGCCAGCATCATTTCTGAATGCTTGTAATAATAAGCCACATCATAAAGGGGTTTCCTTTCCTACTGTAAATTCTGGGAAGTTTTTGTACCCCAGAATAAATACCTGGAAACAAAATTCACATTTATTTTAAGACTATGAATTTTAAAGCATTGAGTAAATTTACTTTAAAAGGGTTCACCAAAATGGTGAAAAAGTTCAGGACCATTTGAGGAACATGCTATTCCTACAGAAGAGGGAAGACTAGAAAGGCACATTATATATTATAGTTATCACTGTGGCATTCAAAAACAAATGACCTAAATAATCATTACCATTAATAGTTATAATACTCTTTCATAGAAAAGAAGGTAGGCTTGTGCACTAAGTGCTCTTGATTCTGGAACCACCTGTAAGTAAGTGTCACTAACATGGACCCACTGGCCTGCTGATTCATTATCAGCCGCTTTCAAACCTAGCAAAACAAAAAGAAGTACAATTTTAAAGTAAGTATGCTTTAGGTTCTTACTCTAAATTACAAACAATAACATATTCATTACAAACTCTATCTAATGCCAAATTTTACCTGAGAAGCCTGTTTTTTCTTGGGTTAAGCATTTTCCAAAAAGAACTTTTTTTTTTTTAAATTATATTTTTAAGTTCTGGAATATCTGTGTAGAATGTGGTTTGTTACATAGGTATACATGTGCCATGGTGGTTTGCTGCACCCATCAACCTGTCATCTACATTACGTATTTCTCCTAATGCTATCCCTCCCCTAGCCCCCCTCCCCCGACAGGCCCAGTGTGTGATGTTCCCCTCCCTGTGTCCATGTGTACTCATTAGAACAAATTCTTTCAAAGCATTAATATTATAGGTATAATTAATAATGCTGTCTGGCCCAGCGCAGTGGCTCATGCCTGTAATCTCAGCACTTGGGGAGGCTGAGGTGGGTGGATCACTTGAGGTCAGGAGTTTGAGACCAACCCAGCCAACATGGTGAAACCCCGTCTCTAATTTAAAAAACAACAGACATTAGCCGGGTGTGGTGGCAGGCGCCTGGAGTCCCAGGTACTTGGGAGGCTGAGGCAGGAGAATCGCTTGAACCCGGAAGGCAGAGGTTGCAGTGAGCCGAGATCCTGCCACTGCAATCCAGCCTGGGTGACAAAGTGAGACCTCATTTCAAAAACAAACAAAAAAAGCAAAGTTAGTTGGATGACCCATAAACAAAGCCAGCAAATTTTCAACTCCAACTCTTCTGACAATCTGATATGGCTTCAAAAACTTTTGGTATTGTTAAATAAAATGCTACTCCACTATAATACACAATGACTCAGTACCTTAAAATACCATGTCATCTCATATGACCTAGAAGGGTACAGTCTTCATAATATTTGAGATTTTCTAGGCACTCCTAGAGGGAATTCTTAAGGTGAATCCAGTTGAGGCTGGGCATGGTGGCTCACACCTGTAATCCCAGCACTTTGGGAGGCCGAGGCGGGCAAATCACTTGAGGTCAGGAGTTTGAGGCCAGCCTGGCCAACACGGCGAAACCCCGTCTCTACTAAAAATATAAAAAATTAGTCACGTGTGGTAGCACGTGCCTGTAATCTCAGCTATTCAGGAGGCTGAGGCATAAGAATCACTTGAACCCAGGAGACAGAGGTTGCAGTGAGCCAAGATCGTGCCACTGCACTCCAGCTTGGATGACTGAGACTCTGTCTCAATCAATCAATCAATCAATCAATTAAGTTAAAATAAAGCAAGCAAGCAAATCCACTAGAGGCATCTATGAAATAATAACTTAGCTCTCCCAGAAAAGGAAGCACATATTCGTTTGTTTTTAAGAATAAAATAAACTTAGGATGGCATACCAGGCACATTTTTCTTTTTAGTGTTATGTTCCGATAATTTCCTGGAGGGTGTTCTCACTTTCACATAAGCAGTGTAGTGGCCTTCTCTCATCGAGCCACTATGTTCCACTATGCCATAGAGACCGTAGAGAACTTTATCTCCCACACTTGCATTCTTTTAAACAAAGAAAAAAACCCAAATTAGTAATATTTGTTAAATACTGTTTTAAGGAAAAGTAAGTAAATGTATATCTGCTTAACATAAGAAAAATGCATAGTAAAACTGAGATACTTTCCATACTTACTAGGCTGGCAAAATGGAAAAACCTTAACAAGGTTCTCTGTTGGCTGATTTGTGGGGAAAAGAGCACTCACACATATTGCACATGGGAATGCAAAGGGTACAATCCCTATGCAGGGATGTTTCTTTTTTTCTCTCTCTCTTTTTCTTGAGATGGAGTCTCGCTCTGTTACCCAGGCTGGAGTGCAATGGTGTGATCTCGGCTCACTGCAACCTCCGCCACCCAGGTTCAAGAAATTCTCCTGCCTCACGTTCCCAAGTAGCTGGGATTACAGGGGTCTGTCACCACGCCCAGCTAATTTTTGTATTTTTAGTAGAAACAGGGTTTTACCTTGTTGGACAGGCTGGTCTCAAACTCTTGACCTCAGGTGATCCACCTGCCTTGGCCTCCCAAAGCGCTGGGATTACAGGCGTAAGCCACTGAGCCTGGCCTATGCAGGGATATTTCATGTTATCAGGCTAAGTTCTGTATGTATTACTCTTGGATTCATTAATCCTTTTTCTAGGATTTGATCCCACAAATACATGAGCAAAATGTCAAAAGACATGTACCACACTATTAATTGCAGGATTATCTGTAATATCAAAACACGAATTAAAATGTCTATAAATTGGGGACTGGTTGAATAAACTATGATGCATCCACACAATAGAGTATTATGCTGCTTGAAAAATGGAGTGTAGACTATCTCTAAATGGTGCTATGGAATAAGCTGTAGGATATAATGTTAAGAGTAAGGCAGAAAAAAGGATACACAGTGTCAGCTACCATTATTTAAGAGGGGAGATGAAAATATACATGCCTGTCTGCTTATATTTAAAAAAAATTATAAAAGAATAAGCCATAATTTTTAAAATGGTTACCTATAAGGGGAAGGAGCAAACAGGTAGAATGTCATGGAGAAAAGCCAGATATCTTTCAATTTACCTTATTTAGGTACATTTGACTTTGGACCTATATAAATATGTTATGTAATTATTAAACAAAATTAAATTTTAAAAGAAATTCCAAAAAGTGAAAATTAAAAATTGCACAAATGAACAATAGATCCAGTCCTTATCTGGATAATAATTGATTTTAAAAATCACATTTATGAGACAATTGAAAATATGAACACTAGGTGATATGACAGAATTATTAAATGATATTGTGGTTATGTTAAAAAGTGTAGAGGGAGCAATTCTTATCTGTTAGAGATACATAGTGAAATATTATGGGTGAAATGATTCCTGATGTTTGCTTCAAAATAATAAAGGAGAAGAAAGTGAATTAGTGTGTGGATAGGGCAGGACTGGCCATGGATGTAAGGTTTTAGGGCTGGGTGCTGGAAGTTCATGGTACTGTTCTATTTGCTTTTGTGTTTATTGGAAATTCTCCGTAATAGGTACTTTTTAAAAATATGTTTTCATAAGTTTAACACAAAGATTGTTAAATTTCATTATTATTTACCACATTATTAAATTCTAGGAATACTGAGTATTAACAATTGACAGATAGTGCTGGTATTCCACAGCAGATACACTGTAATTCAACCAAAAATTGCATTTAAGATGATTTTGTTTTGATTATCAATGTGCTGAAAGTATTAAGTTCAATAAGCATTCTATTACATACTACAAAATCTAGACTTCTAGCCAGTAATCATGAACAGGACAGTATGTTACCCCATAACTGCTTCCTTCAAGGAAGACCAAGTCATCTACTTCATCTACACAATTCTTACATGTAAAATAAGCAATGATAAGCCAGTCTGCTTTCTGTACCTAATTATTAAAGTAGCAGCAGTTTTGAAGTATCACACTCCGCTGACAAGTACACCACTCTCAGTAGTACACATGAAGTGGCACGAAAGACAATTCACTTCTACACTGATTTGCAAAAGATACAGAACTCCGCAAATGGTAAAACTACTACTGATTAAACAGTTCACAAGGAACAATCGAGGACACAAAACCTCCTTCTCTCAGCAACCATCAGCTTCCAGTAGCACTTACAAACAGCTTAGACCTTCATAACCATCATGCCTCATGCCTTACCTTTTCAATTTTCCTTTGTCTCCCAAAGGACAAAAATCATATTCAATGTATTAAGTGTTCCACATATTACTGACTTAATCACTGGCTATTAAAATTCCCTTTCAGAAGAGAAGTTATTTTTTTAGAAAAAGCATTGTCTAATAATATATAGGATACTTTCAAGCATATTAATTTATAAATCAATTAAATATCTTAATATACTGTACCTTACAAGTAGCAGAGCAGAATGGTGCTAAATCGAGCATAAGTGGAAAATCTACATGTCTGTTTACTTTACGAAGACTCAAGCCAGCCTTAAAAAGACCAAAACATTTTTGAAATGCAACAATTAGAAATAAAGCATTGTCTTTGTTAACTAAAACCAAAAGAGAAATTGTAGGACTTAGTTTTTTCATAGATAAAAAATGTGACTAATGTATAGTCTAAAATTAATATGAATAAATTAAAAATTAGGTTTCATAAATTGTTACTGCAAAGATTATTCATTTACATGGGGATTTTTACCACAAACAATAGGGGGAATAGTTACTTTCATTATGGCTTTTCAACACTTATGGAAAAATAAATTCAATATAAAAGCTAAGCTACTGACACATATGCTATCATGAAAATATATTCAACTAAAGAGTAAACAGATTGGTGTTCTAGGCCTAACTCAGTGACTGGTTGTCAACTTGATTCCATATATAAAAGGATGAGATTAGGTCCTTTTCAGTTCTAAAATTCAATTATATTCATTCATTAAAACAAACAACCTGAACACTCAAAACATTTTATCAGTAAAAGTAAATGCTATATATTACATCAATAAAATTGTACTTTTATGTTCTTAAATATGCTCTCTTTTTCTAATTTTCAAAGGCAAACCTTAAAAAGTATATGCTTTGCATTATGTAATGGTAATAAAAACTAGCTAATAAAATATCAAAGGTATTGAGGAGACCCATAAATAGAAATGGACTCTGTTGGAATGAAAAGATACCTAAATCTGAAATGAATGGGTAGACAAAAACGAAAAGGGGCAACCTGTCATGACGTCAATGACTGATCTTTCATTTGCATACTAATCACAAGTTTACTGTAGATCTGTTGCTTTTTTATGGCTTATCTTTCTTTAAAAACAAAAAACCCTTTTTTTTTGCCGAAGTGTATTCACCTACTGATTTGTTTTTTCAAGTGATCTTTAGAAGGCTTGAAAATAGCTGACATGAAATTATGACATCATATCCCAGGAATATTTAATCTACATTCAATTTCTTTGCCTTTTTCATCAGGTGACCTCTATAAGCACCCAATACCAGCACTGTCTGAGATCATTTCAGCTATTGTGTTCTCCTCAATCAGTACTTTGCTGTTGAGAAACTACCCCATCATACAAGAGACTGTGTGAAGGACTTTAATATAAGATGAATCTTTTTTTAGGTGGTAATTTTTGGAAAATATCTAGACTTATATTTGCATATACAGTCTCCTGCCTTTTTCCCTTTAATGAAATGATACACTGCATTTTCCATATTAAAATATAAATTTGATATCCTGCACATTGGACATTTAAGCTAGGCCTTACGTCTGGCATGATCTGAGTGGGGCACACACAAATTTTTGTGTATATCTATTTCCTTGTGGTAGATTCTTAGTCAAGAGTAATTAGCTTTGTTCAAAAATTGTTTTGTTTAAAACATTACTCGGCCGGGCACGGTGGCTCATGCCTGTAATCCAAGCACTTTGGGAGGCCGAGGTGGGTGGATCACCTGAGGTCAGGAGTTCAAGACCAGCCTGACTGACATGGTAAAACCCTGTCTCTACTAAAAATACAAAAATTAGCCAGGTGTGGTGGTGGGTGCCTGTAATCTCAGCTATTCAGGAGGCTGAGGCAGGAGAATCACTTGAACCCAGGAGGCGGAGGTTGCAGTGAGCCGAGATCGCGCCATTGCACTCCAGCCTGGGCGACAAAAGCGAAACTCCATCTCCAAAAAAAAAAAAAATTACTCAATGTTCTTCATATTCATTACTAAATTGCTTTCTAGCAGGTGTTACCAACTTACACTCCCAATGCTGGTAAATGAAAATGTCTCTATCTCAGTTCATCCTTATCAACACTACTACATCTTTGCTAATTTGGACAGGTTGAAAAAAGAATCTGCCATTTTATTTTGCCTTTCTTTTGCTGGGAAGGATGGACCTTTTTCATACTTGCCTGGACTTTGTACTTCTAGAAATGTCAGTTGATATTCTTTTCCCATTTTACTATTAGGGTCTGATATTTTTCTTATTGATCTTTAAGACTCTTTATATACTTACAATATTAAAATTTTGGCATATTTATGACAAAGATCTCTATTCAGTTTCAGATTTGCATTTAAGTGTTGTGGATGTTTCTGATATACAGCCCTAAAGCTACCATAGAGAAGGCGTTCAGGGATGTCAATGAACTAGAAACACAGGCATTGCTTAGGGACTCTGCTCCCTACAATGCCCAAACCCTGGGAATAAGAATGTGGCTTTGCTGACATTACATTTAGCTTGAGAGAAAAAGGGACCTAGATGGATGTCCATAAATATTTCCCTTTAAGGGCAAGAATTATTTCTGTAAGTTGTTTCTAAACAGGGATGCAAGTACCAAATATAAAATAACTGCGGTGCATCATGAAATTAGCTTCTGCAATCTGGCATTATCCTCTCTTATTCACACAGAATCACTGCAGATGTACCCTTTCCATTAGGCGCTCTGATATGACAAGACATAATACATCTGCTTCTGTTCTCTGTGTCATTTCAGTTCCATTGAGCTTCTACAACCTTGGCTATGGAAGAATTCAGAACTTAATCTAATCTGTGGATAGGGATGGCAGGATGGAGAAAAATCTCCTCTCGCACATCTGGATCCCACCTAAAATGTTGCAAATATGTAAACTATCAATAGTTTTCCTTGAGATTTCCTTCTTAAGGTTTTATATTTAGAAAGTCTTTCACACAGAGGTCAAGTTAAATATTCATTTAAGGGCCAGGTGCAGTGGCTCACGCCTAAAATCCCAGCACTTTGGGAGGCCGAGGTGGGCGGATCACCTGAGGTCAGGAGTTTAAGACCAGCCTGGCCGACATGGTGAAACCCCATCTCTACTAAAAATACAAAAATTAGCTAGGTGTGGTGGCACACACCTGTAATCTCAGCTACTTGGGAGGCTGAAGCAGGAGAATCGCTTGAACCCAGGAGTTGGAGGTTGCAGGGAGCCGAGATTGTGCCACTGTACTCCAGCCTGGCAACAGAGGGAGATTCTCTCCTCTACCCTCCCAAAAAAATTATTTAAGTTTTCTCCTTGTTTTCTTGATAATTTGTTTTATACAATTAAGATTTTTATTTGAAAATTGTATGGGCTGGGTGTGGTGGCTCATGCCTGTAATCCCAGCACTTTGGGAGGCCCAGGCAGGTGGATCACTTGAGGTCAGGAGTTCGAAACCAGCCTGGCCAACATGGTGAAATCCTATTTCTACTAAAAATACAAATATTAGCCAGTGTGGTGGTGGGCACTTGTAATCCCAGCTATTTGGGAGGCTGAGGCAGGAGAATTGCTTAAACCCGGGAAGTGGAGGTTGCAGTGAGCTGAGATTGTGCCACTGCACTCCAGCCTGGGTGACAGAGCAAGACTCTTATTTCCATCTGGTCTCGAACTCCTGACCTCAGGTGATCTGCCCACCTCAGCCTCCCAAAGGCCGAGGGAGCCACCGTGCCCAGCCACAAAACTTATTTTCTATTACCACACAAACACACACAGAGATACCATTTAGGTTCCTGCTGCCTAAATTTTCAAATATTGTGAATTAAACAATTTTAATCAGGAAAGTCTTATAAACTATTATGGCTAGATGAGCAGTAAATCTCACATGACACATTTTAAAATGCAATAAGTTACTGGTTATTGTCTAATTCTTGACAATATTCTATAGGACTTAATGCTCTGTAAAACACATGATGAAAATTATGGTGCTACTGAAGAAACTTACCTGATGAAATCTTTTCAGGTGGAGAATTAGGACAGCTGGAACAGCAGAAATGAGCAATTGCTTCCTGGCATTAGTATAAACTCCTTCTACTTTCTTTTCTACATAAAATACAATAAATTTATTTATAAAATTCCATTTTATACATTATCTACCATATAATAAAAATTTATACAGAAGTATCATACCACATTTTTAAAAATGTTAAAGAAATTGGACTTCTGATGAAAGGACAGTCTTTACTCCTTCCTAAAACTCTGCTAAAATGAAAGTAAAGGAATTTTTTTTAAGGCACACAGTTAATAAGAACAAAGAATAGGAGAGGTAACACGAAACAAAATTTTGGAAGGTAGAAAGCAGATGGACTAGAATTAATTTCTGTCAATGCCCTCCAGCCAAAAATCACCAGAAGCACGTGTAGTTGAAGAATTTGGGTTTAAAAAGATTTCTAGATTTCTAATTTTTTTTTTTTCTTTTGAGATTGCTGTTACCCAGGCTGAAGTGCAGTGAGGTGGTCATGGCTCACTGTAGCCTTGACCTCCCAGGCACAAGCAATCCTCCCACCTCAGCCTCCCAAGTAGCTGGGACTACAGGTGCATGCCACCCCACCTGGCTAATTTTTAAAACGTTTTTTGTAGACATGGGATCTCACTATGTTCCTCAGACTGGTCTTGAACTCCTGGCTACAAGCGATCCTCATGCCTTGGCCTCCCAAAGTGTTGGGATTACAGGTGTAAGCCACTGTGCCCAGCCCCAATTTCTAAATTCCTAAGATTTATGTTAGTATTTGAACATTGCCAATTGCATATAGGTATTTCTTCCTTCTCCCATTTCTTTATTACTAGTGTATTAAGTATGTCTTTATTCTGATGCTTTGACATCTAGGGTCTGGTTAACATTGGAGGGACAACCCCTCCCAGGGCTAATTCCTAGAGATAGTAAACAACTTACATATGCATGCCTGTCACATGCAAACCAATCCAGAGCCCAGAGCGCATACCCCAACAACCTCCTTCACTGGGCTCTTACACTCTGGGACACTATCCACTTGCTGTAATCACTCTAGGACCAGGCACCTGATAACTAGAGACAGCTCCTATATCCCAGAGCCCACTAATATTATTCAAACTAGCCAATCCTAAGCCTGCTTAGCCTGCCTTACCCATTTCTTCCTTTAGAAATCACACTAAAGGCTCCTGCCCATGTTTTCCCCTCACTCCCCTACCTCCTGACTGACGCTGGTGCTTCCCTGTGTGGTCCTGTGCAGCATGGTGGGCCCCCACTTCTTGGGAACTATGAATAACACACTATTTCTTCAGTGGCAATTATCTCCTGATCTTTTAGCCTCACCGTACCTGAATAATAAAGCCTACATTTTAAAACAAGTAGTCACTAAGAATCAGAGTATTCTTTCCATTTACTCAAGGATAAAGATGAACTGAAAATTTCTTATTTTCCCCCTTTCTCCACTTCTCTCTGACCAACTAATCATGGTAATTATAGCGCTAGCTTTATGACATGCTACTATTTAAAATCTTCAAAATTTATCTTACGTTGAGTTTACAACAGATTGATAGGATCTGTGAAACACATTAGCTTTATCATTTATCTTACCAGTGATACAATTAGAAGTTTTAGGGAGGCCAGGCATGGTGGCTCACACCTGTAATCTCAGCACTTTGGGAGGCCAAGGCGGGTGGATCATGAGGTCAGGCATTCAAGACCAGCCTGGCCAAGATGGTGAAACCCCATCTCTACTAAAAATACAAAAATTAGCTGGGCATGGTGGTGGGCGCCTGTAATCTCAGCTACTCAGGAGGCTGAGGCAGAATAATCGCTTGAACTCAGGAGGTGGAGGTTGCAGTGAGCCGAGATCGCGCCACTGTACTCCAGCCTGGGCAACAGAGTGAGACTCCATCTCCAAAAAAAAAAAAAAAAGTTGTAGGGATATTTCTTCTGGATAGATTTCAGATAGGTAGTTCCCTCAAATAAGATTATATGGGTTTGCATTTTCAAGGCAGAGTTGTATACTTCCTGCTCTTTATTTAAATAAAAAAACTTGAAAATCTGTTCTGCCCAGTATTGTAAGCGCTCAGGTACAAATATGAATGAAACAATCTCTGCCTAAGTAACACAAGTATAGGGACAAGATTCTCAGTAAAATTCTCAGTGAAATTTGTAACTCACTAGACACTATCAGGAGATCAATAATTATGTAATTAAAAAAATAATTACCTGCAAAACTGGTTTCTTCTTGGTACTTCTGTTTGTTTTTAGTACAATTCTCACATAGAAGCTTATTATTCCCCATTAGTAATTCCATAGATGTAAACTGGTAGAGACAGGACTGAATTGAACATTCTTTAGAAGTAGTTATATAGCTCTGAGAAAGGGTCTGAAAAGCATTTTGGGGACTATAAGACCTCAAATGCTTCCCCTCTAAAAAACATAAATTATTTGAAATATTTAGTGGCTGATTTTCTCTGTCAAAATCTTGATCTCCAGTTACAGTGCTGCTCAAACGAAGTTCAGAAATAGCTTCTGCCATTTCCTTATCACCACTGTCAGTCTCCTTGGTGTACAGCAGTTTACCTGCTGACAGAGGGTAAAGGGGTCCATCTGGCTGCACACCGGATCCACTACTGGATCTGAACAGCCCAGTCTGCTTTGAAGCACTTTCAGATTCTGAAGGCTCACTGTCAGCATCAACATTGCTTTCAGAATGGCTGGCTTCTTTTTCACTGTCATCAGTAGGGCTTTCATTCAGACGTGACTCAGAATTCATGAGGCTGGCAAACATTAAAGAATCCCCATTCATTTCAAGGTTTTCATTTTTCTGGTATGTGACAGTTTCTCCAGATGACAATTTTCTAATACATTTTCGGTCATGAATTAGTTGACTCTGTAAGTTGACAGTGTTTTCAAAGAAAAGAGTCTTGTAACCTCATTGAAAATAAATGCCAATAATTCTTAAACATATCATAGTTATTAAATACCATTTCTCTCAGATCCATTTCCTAAGCCTACTGAAACTAAGATCACTAGAAGATATACTAAAAAATAGTTCTATTTTAAAAGTAAATCTTCACACAAGAAACTAACAACAGTGTAACAGAGGCTATTTGTGGGGAAGGAAATAGGACTTTTGTAGAACAGGGCTATGAGGGAGACTTTTTTCTTTAAAAGAAAAATCTCTTTTAGAGACAGCATCTTGCTCTGTTGCCCAGGCTAGAGTGCAGTGGCACAATCACAGCTCACCGCAGCCTCAAACTCTCGGACTCAAGTGATCCTCCCACCTCAGCCTCCCATGTAGTTACTACTACAAGTATGTACCACCATACCTGGCTAATTTTTTAATTTTTTGTAGAGATAAAGTCTCGCCATGTTGCTTAGGCTGGTCTTGAACTCCTGACCTCAAGCAATCCTCCCACCTTGGCTTCCCAAAGGAGACTTTTCAGTTACTGTATAAGCCTTTCCATACTTGTTCATTTTTAAACACTGAAAATGTATCTGTTTTTTAAACAAATTAAAAAGTAACAAAAGTAAACTATAAACTATTATGACACAGTGTTGCTTGGTTGCCATAGATCTGGAAGAAAATTACGGGAAAAAAATAACCTAAGTTTGGGAAGGGGGGAATCAACTAATTAAAAATTTTAAGCTACCTGAAATGTTTCACTAAAGTTTCCACACAGCTGATGGCTTGAAGTACATTTTTCTTTTCCTATACCTTGGCTGAAGGGTCAAGACAAAAAATAAAGAAAAGACTATCATGAGTAATTGATACTCAGTTTTAGTTATTCAGGGGAAGAAGAGTAAGTTATAAAAAGTGTCTTGCCTCAATTTTTTTTATCTGCAAAATCAGGAAAAATAACATTAGCCAACAAGTTCCACTCCGCTGAATTTATATAGTACTTTTTTTTGGAAACAAACTTTCCTATTATACATATAATACTAACAGTTGGTAAACAAAGCGGCCGGCCAGGAAGCTCGAACTGGGTGGAGCCCACCACAGCTCAAGGAGGCCTGCCTGCCTCTGTAGACTCCACCTCTGGGGTCAGGGCACAGCCCAACAAAAGGCAGCAGAAACCCCTGCAGACTTGAATGTCCCTGTCTGACAGCTTTGAAGAGAGTAGTGGTTCTCGCAGCACAGAGTTTGAGATCTGAGAACGGACAGACTGCCTCCTCAAGTGGGTCCCTGACCTCCGAGTAGCCTAACTGGGAGGCACCCCCCAGTAGGGGCACACTGACACCTCACACGGCCGGGTACCCATCTGAGACAAAGCTTCCAGAGGAACGATCAGGTAGCAACATTTGCTATTCAGCAATATTCGCTGTTCTGCAGCCTCCGCTGCTGATATCCAGGCAAACAGGGCCTGGAGTGGACCTCCAGCAAACTCCAACAGACCTGCAGCTGAGGGTCCTGACTGTTAGAAGGAAAACTAACAAACAGGACATCCACACCAAAACCCCATCTGTCAGTCACCATCATCAAAGACCAAAGGTAGATAAAACCACAAAGATGGGGAAAAAACAGAGCAGAAAAGCTGAAAATTCTAAAAATCAGAGCGCCTCTCCCCTTCCAAAGGAACACAGCTCCTCGCCAGCAACGGAACAAAGCTGGACGGAGAATGACTTTGACGAGTTGAGAGAAGAAGGCTTCAGATGATCAAACTTCTCCTAGCTAAATGAGGAAGTTCGAACCCAATGCAAATAAGTTAAAAACCTTGAAAAAAGATTAGACAAAGGGCTGACTAGAATAATCAGTGTAGAGAAGTCCTTAAATGACCTGATTGAGCTGAAAACCATGACAGGAGAACTACGTGACAAATGCACAAGCTTCAGTAGCCGATTTGATCAACTGCAAGAAAGGATATCAGTGATTGAAGATCAAATGAATGAAATGAAGCAAGAAGAGAAGTTTAGAGAAAAAAGAATAAAAAGAAACAAAGCCTCCAAGAAATATGGGAATATGTGAAAAGACCAAATCTATGTCTGATTGCTGTACCTGAAAGTGACAGGGAGAATGGAAAACACTCTGCAGGATATTATCCAGGAGAACTTCCCCAACATAGCAAGGCAGGCCAACATGCAAATTCAGCAAATACAGAAAACGCCACAAAGATACTCCTTGAGAAGAGCAACTCCAAAACACATAATTGTCAGATTCACCAAAGTTGAAATGAAGGAAAAAATGTTAAGGGCAGCCAGAGAGAAAGGTCAGGTTACCCGCAAAGGGAAACCCATCAGACTAACAGCAGATCTCTTGGCAGAAACTCTACAAGCCAGAAGAGATTGGGGGCCAATAGTCAACATTCTTAAAAGAATTTTCACCCCAGAATTTCATATCCAGCCAAACTAAGCTTCATAAGTGAACGAGAAATAAAATCCTTTACAGACAAGCAAATGCTGAGAGATTGTGTCACCACCAGACCTGCCCTACAAGAGCTCCTGAAGGAAGCACTAAACATGGAAAGGAACAACTGGTACTAGCCACAGCAAAAACATGCCAAACTGTAAAGACCATCAATGCTAGGAAGAAACGGCATCAACTAACGAGCAAAATAACCAGCTAACATCATGACAGGATCAGATTCACACATAACAATATTAACCTTAAATGTACATGGGCTAAATGCTCCAATTAAAAGATACAGACTGAAAAACTGCATAAAGAGTCAAGACCCATCAGTGTGCTGTATTCAGGAGACCCATCTCACGTGCAGAGACACACATAGACTCAAAATAAAAGGATGGAGGAAGATCTACCAAGCAAATGGAAAACAAAAAAAGGCAGGGGTTGCAATCTTAGTCTCTGATAAAACAGGCTTTAAAACAACAAAGATCAAAAGAGAAAGAAGGTCATTACATAATGGTAAAGGGATCAATTCAACAAGAAGAGCTAACTATCCTAAATATATATGCACCCAATACAGGAGCACCCAATACAGGAGCACCCACATTCATAAAGCAAGTCCCCAGAGACCTACAAAGAAACTTAGACTCCCACACAATAATAATGGGAGACTTTAACACCCCACTGTCAACATTAGACAGATCAATGAGACAGAAAGTTAACAAGGATAGCCAGGAATTGAACTCAGCTCTGCATCAAGTGGACCTAGTAGACATGAACAGAACTCTCCACCCCAAATCAACAGAATATACATTCTTCTCAGCACATCACACTTATTCCAAAATTGACCACACAGTTGGAAGTCAAGCACTCCTCAGCAAATGTAAAAGAACAGAAATTATAACAAATTGTCTCTCAGACCACAGTGCAATCAAACTAGAACTCAGGATTAAGAAACTCACTCAAAACCGCTCAACTACATGGAAACTGAAAAACCTGCTCCTGAATGACTACTGGTTACATAACGAAATGAAGGCAGAAATAAAGATGCTCTTTGAAACCAATGAGAACAAAGACACAACATACCAGAATCTATGGGACACATTTAAAGCAGTGTGTAGAGGGAAATTTATAGTACTAAATGCCCACAAGAGAAAGCAGGAAAGATCTAAAATTGACACCCTAACATCACAATTAAAAGAACTAGAGAAGCAAGAGCAAACAAATTCAAAAGCTAGCAGAAGGCAAGAAATAACTAAGATCAGAGCAGAACTGAAAGAGATAGAGACACAAAAAAAAACCCTTCAAAAAATCAATGAATCCAGGAGCTGGTTTTTTGAAAAGATCAACAAAATCGATAAACCACTAGCAAGACAAATAAAGAAGAAAAGAGAGAAGAATCAAATAGGCACAATAAAAAGTGATAAAGGGGATATCACCACTGATCCCACAGAAATACAAACTACCATCAGAGAATACTATAAACACCTCTACGCAAATAAACTAGAAAACCTAGAAGAAATGGATAAATTCCTCCACACATACACCCTCCCAAGACTAAACCAGGAAGAACTTGAATCCCTGAATAGATCAATAACAGGCTCTGAAATAGAGGCAATAATTAATAGCCTACCAATCAAAAAAAGTTGAGGACCAGACGGATTCACAGCCGAATTCTACCAGAGGTACAAGGAGGAGCTGGTACCATTCCTTCTGAAACTATTCTAATCAATAGAAAAAGAGGGAATCTTTCCTAACTCATTTTATGAGGCCAGCATCATCTTGATACCAAAACCTGGCAGAGACACAACAAAAAAAGAGAATTTTAGACCAATATCCCTGATGAACATCGATGCAAAAATCCTCAATAAAATACTGGCAAACCAAATCCAGCAGCACATCAAAAAGCTTATCCACCATGATCAAGTGGGCTTCATCCCTGGGATGCAAGGCTGGTTCAACATATGCAAATCAATAAACGTAATCCATCATATAAACAGAACCAAAGACAAAAACCACATGATTATCTCAAAAGATGCAGAAAAGGCCTTTGACAAAATTCAACAGCCCTTAATGCTAAAAACTCTCAATAAATTAGGTACTGATGGGACATATCTCAAAATAATAAGAGCTATCTATGACAAACCCACAGCCAATATCATACTGAATGGGCAAAAACTGGAAGCATTCCCTTTGAAAACTGGCACAAGACAGGGATGCCCTCTCTCACCACTCCTATTTAACAAGTGTTGGAAGTTCTGGCCAGGGCAATCAGGCAGGAGAAATAAATAAAGGGTATTCAATTAGGAAAAGAGGAAGGCAAATTGTCCCTGTTTGCAGATGACATGACTGTATATTTAGAAAACCCCATCATCTCAACCCAAAATCTCCTTAAGCTGATAAGCAACTTCAGCAAAGTCTCAGGATACAAAATCAACGTGCAAAAATCACAAGCATTCTTATACACCAATAATAGACAGAGAGCCAAATCATGAGTGAACTCCCATTCACAATTGCTTCAAAGAGAATAAAATACCTAGGAATCCAACTTACAAGGGATGTGAAGGACCTCTTCAAGGAGAACTACAAACCACTGCTCAACAAAATAAAAGAGAACAGAAACAAATGGAAGAACCTTCCATACTCATGGATAGGCAGAATCAATATTGTGAAAATGGCCATACTGCCCAAGGTAATTTATAGATTCAATGCCATCCCCATCAAGCTACCAATGACTTTCTTCACAGAATTGGAAAAAACTACTTTAAAGTTCATATGGGACCAAAAAGAGCCTGCATTTCCAAGACAATCCTAAGCCAAAAGAACAAAGCTGGAGGCATCAGGCTACCTGACTTCAAACTATACTACAAGGCTATAGTAACCAAAACAGCATAGTACTGGTACCAAAACAGAGATATAGACCAATGGAACAGAACAGAACCCGCAGAAATAATACCACACATCTACAACCATCTGATCTTTGACAAACCTGAGAAAAACAAGCAATGGGGAAAGGATTCCCTATTTAATAAATGGTGCTGGGAAAACTGGCTAGCCATATGTAGAAAGCTGAAAATGGATCCCTTCCTTACACCTTATACAAAAATTAATTCAAGATGGATCAAAGACTTACATGTTAGAGCTAAAACCATAAAAACCCTAGAAGAAAACCTAGGCAATACCATTCAGGACATAGGCATGGGCAAGGACTTCATGTCTAAAACACCAAAAGCAAAGGCAACAAAAGCCAAAATTGACAAATGGGATCTAATTAAACTAAGGAGCTTCTGCACATGAAAAGAAACTACCATCAGAGTGAACAGGCAACCTACAGAATGGGAGAAAATTTTGCAACCTACTCATGTGACAAAGGGCAAATATCCAGAATCTACAAAGAACTCAAACAAATTTACAAGAAAAAAACAACCCCATCAAAAAGTGGGCAAAGGATATGAACAGACACTTCTCAAAAGAAGACATTTATGCAGCTAACAGACACATGAAAAAAATGCTCATCATCACTGGCCATCAGAGAAAAGCAAATCAAAACCACAGTGAGATACCATCTCACACCAGTTAGAATGGTGATCATTAAAAAGTCAGGAAACAACAGGTGCTGGAGAGGATGTGGAGAAATAGGAACACTTTTACACTGTTGGTGGGACTGTAAACTAGTTCAACTATTGTGGAAGACAGCGTGGCTATTCCTCAAGGATCTAGAACTAGAAATGCCATTTAACCCAGCCATCCCATTACTGGGTATATACCCAAAAGATTATAAATCATGCTGCCTTAAAGACACATGCACACGTATGTTTATTGTGGCACTATTCACAATAGCAAAGACTTGGAACCAACCCAAATGTCCATCAATGATAGACTGGATTAAGAAAATGTGGCACATATACACCATGGAATACTATGCAGCCATAAAAAAGGATGAGTTCATGTCCTTTGTAGGGACATGGATGAAGCTGGAAACCATCATTATCAGCAAACTATCACAAGAACAAAAAACCAAACACTGCATGTTCTCACTCATAGGTGGGAATTGAACAATGAGAACACTTGGACACAGGAAGGGGAAGATCACACACAGGAGCCTGTTGTGGGGTGGCGGGAGCAGGGAGGGAAAGCATTAGGAGATATACCTAATGTAAATGGCGAGTCAATGGGTGCAGCACACCAACATGGCACATGTATACATATGTAACAAACCTGCACGTTGTGCACATGTACCCTAGAACTTAAAAAAGAAAAAAAAAAAAACATAAAAGGCATCCAAATTGGAAAAGAAGTCAAATTGTTCCTCTTCACAGACGACATAATCTTACATATAGGATAACCTAAAGACTTCAACAAAAAACTCTTAGAACTGATAAACAAATTCAGTAAAGTTGTTGAATGCAAAATCAACATATGAAAATCAGTAGCGTTTCTATACACTAACAACAAAGTAGCTGGAAAAAAAAATCAACAAAGCAATCCTGTTTACAATGGCTACAAAAGAAAAAAAAATTCCACCTAGGAATAATTTAACTGAGGAGGTGAAAGACCTCCACAAGGAAAACTATAAAATACTGATGAAAGAAACTGAAGGAGACACAAACGAAAAAGCATCCCATGCTCATGGATCAGGAAAATATTAAAATGACTATGCTACCCAAAGCAATCTATAGACTCCATGAATTCCTATCAAAATTCCAATGACGTTTTTCACATAAAAAGAAAAAACAATCCTAAAATATGTATGGAACCTGGCTGGGTACAGTGGCTCATGCCTGTAATCCCAGCACTTTGGGAGGCTGAGGTAGATAGATCAACTAAGGCCAAGAATTTGAGACCAGTCTGGCCAGCACGGTGAAACCCCATCTCTACTAAAAATACAAAAAATTAGCCAGGCATGGTAGCAGGCACCTGTAATCCCAGCTACTTGGGAGGCTGAGGCAGAAGAATCGCCTGAACCTGGGAGGCGGAGACTGCAGTGAGCTGACATTGCACCTCTGACAGTGGCACTCTGGCCTTGGCAACAAGAGTGAAACTCCATCTAAAAAAAGAAAAAAATTTGTATAGAACCAAAAAAGAGCCAGAATCACTAAAGCAATCCTGGGCAAAAGGGAGAAAGCTGGAAGCCTCACACTACCTGACTTCAAAATGTACAAGACTACAGTAACCAAAACAGTATGGTCATGGTATAAAAACAGACACATAGACCAGTGCAACAGAATAAAGAAATCCACATACTTACAGCCAACTGATTTCTGACAAAGGGGCCAAGAACAAACACTGGGGGAAGGACGCCCTCTTCAACAAATGGTACTGGGAAAACTGGTTATCCATATGCAGAAGAATACAACTAGAATGTTATCTCTCACCATATACAAAAATCAACTCAAGATAGATAAAAGACTTAAATGTAAAATCTAGAATATAAAACCACAAGAAGAAAACATAGGAGAAACACTCAGGACATTAGTCTAGGTAATGATTTTATGGAGACCTCAAAAGCACAGGCAACAAAAACAAATGGGACTACACTGTAAAAAGCTTCTGCACAGAAAAGGAAACAATCAACAGAATGAAGAGACCTCCTGTTGAATGGGAGAAAATATCTGCAAACTCTTCATCCTATAAGGAACTAATGTTAGACATTTCCCAAAAGAAGACATCCAAATGGCCAAGAGGTATATGAAAAAAATGCTCAACATCCCTAATCATCCAGGAAATGCAGATTAAAACCACAATGAAATATCATTTTACCCCAGTTGAATGGTTATTATCAAAAAAGACAAATAATAAGATGCCTTCAAGAATGTGGAGAAAAGGAGTCTGAAACACGGTTGGTGGGAATGTAATTAGTACAGCCATCATAGAAAACAGTATGGAGATGGCTGGGTGCAGTGGCTTATGCCTGTAAGCTCAGCACTTTGGGAGGCCAAGGCAGGTGGATCACGAGGTCAAGAGTTCAAGACCATCCTGGCCAACATGGTGAAAACCCTGTCTCTACCAAAAATACAAAAAAATAAGCCCGGTGTGATGGCAGGTGCCTGTAATGCCAGCTACTCGGGAGGCTGAGGCAGGAGAATCACTTGAACCTGGGAGGTGGAGGTTGCAGTGAGCCAAGATCACACCACTGCACTCCAGCCCGGGTGACAGAGCGACACTCCATCTCAAAAAAAAAAAAACAAAAAACAAAAAAACAAAACACAACAGTATGGAGATTTCTCAAAAAACTAAAATAGGGCTGGGTGCGATGGCTCACACCTGTAATCCCAGCACTTTGGGAGACTGAGGTGGGTAGATCACTTGAGGTCAGGAGTTTGAGACCACCAGCCTGGGGAACATGGTGAAACCCTGTCTCTAATAAAAATACAAAAATTAGCTGGGCGTGGTGGCACATGCCTGTAGTCCCAGCTACTTGGGAGATGGAGGCTGAGGCATGAGAATCACTTGAACCCAGGAGGAAGAGGTTGCAGTGAGCTGAGACTGTGCCACAGCACTTCAGCCTGGGCGATGGAGCGAGACTCTGTCTCAAACAACAACAACAACAACAACAACAACAACAAACTAAAATATAACTACCATAAGATCCAGCAATCCCACTACTAGACATTTATCCAAAGAAAAGAAAACCAGTGTATCAAAAGGATACTTGCACCCCCATGTTTACTGCAGTGCTATTCACAATAGCCAAGAAATGGAATCAATCTAAGTGTCCATCAGTAGATGAATGGATAAAGAAAATGTAGTATATATCCATAATGGAATACTCTTCAGCCCTAAAAAGAATGAAATCCTGTCATTTGCATCAACATGGGTTGAACTGGAGGTCATTATGTTAAGTAAGGCAAGCTAGGCACAGAAAGGCAAATATCCCATGTTCTCACTCTTATGTGAGAGCTAAAAAAAAAAAAAAAAAAAAAAAAAAAAAGTTGGGGCAGGCGCAGTGGCTCACACCTGTAATCCCAGCACTTTGGGAGACTGAGGCGGGTGGATCATGAGGTCAGGAGATGGAGACCATCCTGGCTAACAAGGTGAAACCCTGTCTCTACTGAAAATACAAAAATTAACCGGGCTTGATGGCGGGCACCTGTAGTCCCAGCTACTTGGGAGGCTGAGGCAGGAGAATGGCATGAACCTGGGAGGCAGAGCTTGCAGTGAGCCAAGATCGCGCCACTGTACTCCAGCCTGGGCAACAGAGCGAGACTCTGTCTCGGAAAAAAAAAAAAAAAAAAAAAAAGATCTCATGAAAGTAGAGAGTAGAATGATAGATATCAGAGGCTTAGAAAAGAGTGAGTGGGGTTGTAGTGGAGAAGCTAAAAAGAGAGGTATGTTAGTGAGTACAAAGACAGAGTTAGAAGGAATAGTTCTAATGTTCCATAGAACAGTATGGTAACTACAGTTAACAACATAGATTACATATTTCAAGGTAGCTACGAGAAAATCTGAAATGTTCTCAATGCAAAGAAATGATAAATGCTTAAGGTAACTGATATCCCAAATACCCTGACTACTGTGGGAAGTCAGGGACCCCAAATGGAGGGACCGGCTGAAGCCATGGCAGAAGAACGTGGATTGTGAAGATTTCATGGACATTTATTAGTTCCCCAAATTAATACTTTTATAATTTCTTATGCCTGTCTTTACTGCAATCTCTAAACATAAATCATAAAGATTGCATGGACACTTATCACTTCCCCAATCAATACCCTTGTGATTTCCTATGCCTGTCTTTACTTTAATCTCTTAATCCTGTCAGCTGAGGAGGATGTATGTTGCCTCAGGACCATGTGATAATTGCGTTAACTGCACAAATTGTACAGCATGTGTGTTTGAGCAATATGAAATCTGGGCACCTTGAAAAAAGAACAGAATAACAGCAATTGTTCAGGGAATAGGAGAGATAACCTTAAACTCTGACCTCTGGTGAGCTGGCGGAACAGAGCCATATTTCTCTTCTTTCAAAAGCAAATGGGAGAAATATCGCTGAATTCTTTTTCTCAGCAAGGAACATACCTGAGAAAGAGAATGCGTGCCTGGGGGTAGGCCTATGAATGGCCCCCCTGGGCGTAGCCGTCTCTTATGGTCGAGACTGCAGGGATGAAATAGACCCCAGTCTCCCATAGTGCTCCCAGGCTCATTAGGAAGGGAAAATACCCACCTAATAATTTTGGTCAGACCGGGTGCTCTCAAAACCCTGTCTCCTGATAAGATGTTATCAATGACAATGGTGCCCAAAACTTCATTAGCAATTTTAATTTCACCTCTGTCCTGTGGTCCTGTGATCTTGCCCTGCCTCCACTTGCCTTGTGATATTCTATTACCTTGTAAAGTACTTGATGTCTGTGACCCACACCTATTTGCACACTCCCTCCCCTTTTGAAAATCCCTAATAAAAACTTGCTGGTTTTTGCGGCTTGTGGGGCATCACGTAACCTACCGACATGTGATGTCTCCCCTGGACGCCCAGCTTTAGAATTTCTCTCTTTTGTACTCTGTCCCTTTATTTCTCAAGCTGGCCGATGCTTAAGGAAAATAGAAAAGAACCTATGTGAATATTGGGGCAGGTTCCCCGATACCTGACTTGATCATGATACATTCTATGCATGTATCAAAATATCACATATACCTCATAAATATGTACAAATATTATGTACCAACAGAAAATTAATGGTCAATGGAAAATATAGACCCATACAGGTTTTTAGTAACTTGTCCAAGATCATATAACTAATAAAAATAGCTGTGTCCAGAATCCAATTAATCTAATTCTGATTGAATAGTTTCCAAATTCAGGTGATTATCAGACTCACCTAAGAGGGCTTGTTGTTTTAAAAGATACATATCCGAGGCATTACCACTAAGAAATTCCCATTAATCATGTCTGAGGTTGGGTATGAGAATTCGTTTTAATAAACAGGTGATTCTCATCATCAGCTGGTCTTAGGAACTTTTGAATGAGACTATTCTATCTATCCCTTTTATCCTCCTACTCCTAGTGAAATATAAAAGTACCCCTTCCCATCCTTATTTTTTGAGACTATAGAAAAGCCCACAGAGCAGTGCGTAGCCCACAGTAAGCAGCGTAAGTATCAGCTATTATTACTATTAGTATTATTTTGAGATGGAGTCTCGCTCTGTTGCCCAGGCTGGAGTGCAGTAGCGCAATCTCGGCTCACTGCAACCTCCACCTCCTGGTTTCCAGAGATTCTCCTGCCTCAACCTCCCAAGGAGCTGGATTACAGGCGTGTGCCACCATGACCGGCTAATTTTTTGCATTTTTAGTAGAGATAAGGTTTCACTGTGTTAGCCAGGATGGTCTCCATCTCCGGACCTTGGGATCTGCCTGCCTCGGCCTCCCAAAGTGCTGGGATTACAGGCGTGAGCCACCGCACCCAGCCAGTATCAGCTATTACGATTGGCAGCAATCATGAGAATGAGCTCAGTGGTCTCCCTAAACACCATCCATGTACAAGCACTGAACTAGGCACCTGAGACATAGTGGCAAGAAGGACAGACTCAGTTCCTGTTTGCAGATCCTGCAATCCATCCCAATAAAAGTATGGTGAGACATAAGTTCAAGTCAGCAGGGGGCAGTATACGTGGTTAAGAACATGGTCCTTGTTTAACCTGTCTGAATCCCCATTTCTGCCAGACTACTTGTATGATCTTAGGCATGTTATTTAATCCACCTCTTGGCTCAATATAATTGGTGTAAATAACTGAAAACAGTGATCATAACATAATTAAGAACTCAAATGTTAGGTACAACTTATGTTATGATAGGAGAAATACAGTGCTATAGAAAGCCAGAGGAAAAGAACTAATCCAGAATTGAGTGGATCAGAGAAATATGCAGAAATTGAGCAGAGGCTACAGGAGGAGAATGGGACTGTTCGTGGCAGAAGAGACAGTTCAAAGGCCCACAGGTAAGACAAAGAACAAGAAATTAGGGAAGTCTAGCTAGAAAATAGAGTACAAGTGTGGGGAGGTGAGAAGGACACACAAAAATTAACCAGATGCATATAAGTCACAGACTTGTTTTTGTTTTGAACAGCAATGAGATTTATTTTTTCAACTTTTATTTTAGGTTCAGGGTACATGTGCAGGTTTGTTATAAAGGTAAACTTGTGTCACAGGGGTTTGTTATACAGATTATTTCTTCACCCAGGTACTAAGCCTAGTATCCAATATTATTTTTTCTGATCCTCTCCCTCCTCCCACCCTGTGCACCCTCCAGTAGGCCCCAGTGTCTTTGTTCCCTTGTGTACAAGTGTACTCAATGTTTAGCTCCCACTTATAAGTGAGAACTTGTGGTATTTGGTTTTCTGTTCCTGTGTGAGTTTGCTAACGACAATGGCCTCCAGCTCCATCCACGTTCCTGTAAAAGGCACAATCTTATTCTTTTTTATGGCTGCATAGTATTCCATGGTGTATATGTACAACATTTTCTTATCCAAACTGTCACTGATCAGCATTTAGGTTGATTCCATGTCTTTGCTATTGTGAATAGTGCTGCAATGAACATTCACCTACATGTGTTTTTATGGTAGAATGATTTATATTCCTTCAGGTATATACCCAGTAATGGAAATGCTGGGTCAAATGGTAGTTCTGTTTTTAGCTCTTTGAGGAATAGCCACACTGCTTTCTGCAACGGTTGAACTAATTTATACTTCTACCAACAGAGTATAAGCATTCCTTTTCTCTGCAGCCTCGCCAGCATTTATTTTTTGACTTTTTAATAATAGCATTCTGACTGGTGTGACATGGTATCTCATTGTGCTTTTGATTTGCATTTCCCTAATGATTAGTGATGCTGAGTTTTTCATATGCCTGTTGGCTGCATGTATCAGACTTGATTCTGAGGGCTACAAGGAATATGATGACCTATTTTTGTATTTTAGAAATATTGCCCTGTCTGCAATGTGGAGCACCAAATGGTGGTGGGGAATAGGGAGAGGAGTGGGGTCTAGGGAAACAAAAAATTAATCAGATGGCTACATGATAATTCCCTATCTTTTCCCTCAGACCTTTTGGGTAGTGCTTTTTTTGCCTCACATAATTTTCCAATAAAAAATTTCTATTCACTGTTTCCTTTCACTATTTTTTAAACTTTCTAAAATACTCAGGCCAGATCTGTTGCCTTTCCACCAGTGCTAACTTTCATTTGTATTCACATTACCATATCTTGGTTTTATTTCTCCTTTTTTCCTTACCTGATGCTTATCATCCTTCATATTAAACTTTGTTCAGTTTTAATGAGATAACTGTAGTATAATTTAGCAAAGAGAAGTGAAAAACTCAATTTACTATCAAATCAGTACTTGTACCTCTATTATTAAAAGATGCAAGGAGCTTCTCTTTTTGTTACAGACACTAAGTAGAGGGGAAAAGCCCACTTTTAAAGTTTAAAAATATAAGAAATGAAAATGATCAAAGGGGAGATATATGACCTTCTCTGGGTGTTTCCAAAATTCCCAAGAGTAAATTGAGCCAACACCACATGATAAACAAAAATATCCTTGCAACTGTTTTACTTGGACTTTAAAACTACTAAGTACCTGTTCAATTTTATCCTTAAAAAAATTTACATAGGTTAAGTTGCCATTTTCTCAAATATCTCTGTATAATACCTTGAGCAATTTAGCACCTAGGAAAAATGGTAAAATCAGGTAAGATCCCTTCGAATACAGCGTTTTCCTCAAATCTATTTTGAAGTATATTGATAGATACCGTAACTACACAGTATTCTTTTGGTGACTGGTCTGATTGGTAAAATAATAGAAAGATTGAAATTTTCTTAATTTCTTCCATGTAAATAAGAGGACTATGATTTTCTGAATATAACCCCAATGATGAGAGGCACAACACAGGTTTCAGCAATTCCATAATAACACCTTTTATAATAACTAAAAAGAAAACAGAGGAAATAAGATGGAACACAAAAATTATTCAATTAAAACCAAAAGTGCATGAAAAGTAGAAACAGAAATAAACAACAGATGGGATGTATAGAAAAAACAGCAAGATTCTGGTCTTATAATTGAATTTAAGAGCCGAGTCTCAAAGAGCTTAATTGGCAAAACGCTGCGCAGCTAACAGGTGGTGGGAACCAAAGTTCATGTAAATTGTACCAGAGCACAATGCACTTCTGATTCTGGCAGAAGTATTAAGGTTTTATGAAATAAAAAAAAAATCTTTCATAAAACTAATATACTTATGTGTTGAAGCAACTCAGAGAACTGAACTTTTGGATTTCTTTCTGAACTAATGAGCTGAGGCAGGATTTTATATAAGGATATCAATTTGAGATTTTCCAGTCTCTACAATTATTCAATCAGCATGATGGTTTTTTAAAAAGCTGTGGGGAGGGGAAAGAAGGGAAGAAAAATAGCCTATGGAATAGACTTCACATAATATCTTTTGGTAGCCATTTGTTGCAGCTCATTTTACCTTAGTTTTTGGTTCAAGAAGGATGTTTATATAGGCCTATGGCTATTTACTCTGTTTACGTATCTGCCTCCTGTTACTATTTTTTCTGTATTTAGGCCAGAAATTGCACACACTAGTTTTACAGTGCTTTATTTAACTGGATTATTTGCCTGTTATCAGTAAGCAAAAGAAAATGCACTTTTTCAAGGTACTCAGAGATAACATCTTCCAACTTGAGGGCAAGATTTTCTCAGCTAATTTCACTATTTTTATGTAATTATTTTTATCATTCTTCATATTAAGTTTTTGTGTGGTTTTAATGAGATAACTCATATAATTTGGCAAACAGAAAAGGTAAAAAACTCAAAAACTTATGATCAAATCAGTACTTGTGCCTCTAGTATAATTTTAAAAGATGCAAGGTGCTTCTATTACTGTAAGAGATTAAAAAATACTATAAAGTTTGTCACAAATATCTTTATACTCTTATTAACAGCTTCACTAATCAGCAAAACAAGACTTTATTGATCTTTATAAAACTAGTACTGAAAGTAGTTAACTACTGAATCATTCTGGTTCCATGATTAAACTGGTTCTGTAGTTGAACTATTGGAAATAACTTCTAAACGTAAACTTCCTAATGACTGAAATACATTTATGTCATTTAAATTTTCGCTTCTTGAATATAGTACCTTAAAGATGTTATTAGAACTGTACTTTTCTAATTTTAGAACCGTATGCAAACTTGCACTTTTTCCCATCAAAACCAAAAAAAAGGTAACTCTATTACATGAAAAAAACGTTCAATAAAGAATAGGTCCAATAAAAAAGTAACAAAAAATATTATATGAAAAAAATTTTCAATAAAGAGTAGGTCCAATTTGTTCAGCACAAGCACAAGTTATATCCATGTGGTGTCCAGATCTTTGAGGTACAGTTTCTATATATCATATATGCATATTCTCAGTTCCTAACCAATACTGTGTGGAAAGTATTTCTCTCATACATTTGGATAGCGGATGTATTAAAACTACTTTGGCCAGTACCACAGAATCTCCTAACTCTTTAAACTAAATAAAAATAAAGAAAAAAAATCACTACACATTTATATTTTAATAACCAGTGCTTTTTAGGGGAATAGCAACACAATTAATGCTTTAACCTTTTCAAACTCTGTAAGATGCTTTGTTTTATACCATTAGAATAAAGCATATGCTCAAATTGAATTTAACTGTCCTATATATCTTATGAAGCAAAATTAGCTTTTATTTATAGAAAACATGTTGTCCTTTCTGAAGTCTTGTGACTTCTAACATAAGTCTTCTAACAGAGTAAGTTAAATTCAGGCCCAGCGCTGTGGCTCACACCTGCAATTCCAGCACTTTGGGAGACCAAGGCAGGTAGATCACTTGAGGTCATCAGGAGTTTGAGACCAGCCCAGCCAACATGACAAAACCCTATCTCTACAAAAAATAACAAAAATTAGCCGGGCATGGTGGTGTGCACATGTAGTCCCAGCTACTTGGGAGGCTGAGGCACAAGAATCACTTGAACCTGGGAGGCTGCAGTGAGCTGAGATCGTGCCACTGCACTCCAGCCTGGCTGGGCAACAGTGTGAGACTCTGTCTCAATAATTAATTAATTAATTAATTAATAGAGTAAGTTAAATTTAATATTAATTTGCCAAATTAATACAAATCATTTCATATAAAAAAGTTTTTTTTGCTGAAGTATAAGTTCAGATTGATTTCTTTCCATTTTCATGGGATAATACAACAGCCAGGTATGTCCCTAGTGAAATAATAGGTCTAGACAATGGTTACAATGATCACCATTTCATGGAATAATTTTCCATTTTCATGGGATAATTCAACAACCAGGTATGTCCCTAGTAAAATAATAGATCTAGACAATGGTTATCAGTGACTGGTAATATCATAGAGAGACATAAAACATTATGTGCATCTAGCTGATGGAAGTATACATGCCACCACCTAAAAGTTTTCTTGCTAAAAATTAAATAAGTAATTAAATCTGAACCTAACTAGGCCTCTAGATCTAAATGTCTCAGAGGAGAAATAAAGGTGACAGAGGAATCTGTTAACACCATGCTGCTGAAAAAAAGGACCTGATTTCTTCAGCAAATAAACTGCAAAGGAGGAAAAAGAGGGAGAGGGAATCTGTAGATGAAAAGAGATTTAAGAGACATGGCAATCATTGGGAGGCTGAGGCGGGTGGATCATGAGGTCAGGATTTCGAGACCAGCCTGACCAACATGGTGAAACCTGGTCTCTACTAAAAATACAAAAATTAGCCGGGTGTGGTGACATGCGCCTGTACTCCCAGCTACTCAGGAGGCTGAGGCAGGAGAATCGCTTGAACCCAGGAGGCAGAGGTTGCAGTGAGCCAAGATCGCGCCACCTGGGCAACAGAGCGAGACTCCATCTCAAAAAAAAAAAAAAAAAAAAAAAAAAAAGAGGCACTGCAATCCATAGACCTCTTTTAAATCCTAAAATCCAAACTTTAGAAAGCAAAATAAAAAACTAAGTACTTATGAGACAACTGCAGAAATTTAAATAATGACTGAATCCTTATTTATTTATAATGAATTAATATTTTTGATATGATAATGGTACTGTGGTTTTTGGTTTTTAAGAGTATCCCTCGGTTAGTGCTGGGCGCAGTGGCTCACTCCTGTAATCCCAGCGCTTTGGGAGGCCGAGGCGGGCAGATCACCTGAGGTCAGGAGTTCGAGACCAGCCTGACCAACATGGTGAAACCCCGTCTCTATTAAAAATACAAAATTAGCCAGGCGTGGTGGCACATGCCTGTAATCCCAGCTACTCAGGAGGCTGAGGCAGGAGAATCGCTTGAACCCAGGAGGCGGAGGCTGCAGTTAGCTGAGATTGCACCATTGCACTCCAGCCTAGGCAACAAGAGCAAAACTCCGTCTTAAAAAACAAACAAACAAACAAAAACTCTCTTGTAGAGATACACATTGAAGTATATGATATATTTGGGATTTATTTCAAAAATAATCTGGGATTATCCAAAAATAGTCTGGGATGGGAGGAAGGGGAGGATGTGGGATATATATAGTTAGTATACAAGTAGCCAAGTTGATAATTATGAAGCCAAAAAATGGGTACATGAGAGTTTATTACACTATGTTCTCTACTTTTAGATGTGCTTGAAACTTTTGTTAATAAACTGTTAAAAAACAGACGTCTAACAGATGCTTATGGTCTTACCTTATCTTTAGATGAAGAATGCTTCTTGGCAGCTCTAGGTTGATGAATATTTTCTATAGTAACATTGCCACTGTATCGATCATGATCTGTCTCCCGTAAACTTCTATATTTATTCATTCTTCCCCA